>NC_000009.12:98523582-98675097 GCF_000001405.40 Homo sapiens | reverse complement strand
CCAGGTTCCATCCTCTTCCCTAGACCCTCTAAGAGGCCTGGGGAAGACACATGCTTCCTGTGAACCTCAGTTTCCAGCTTCGTGAGAAGGGAGAGCCTGGCCAGCTGAACTTTCACTTTAAGATTTGGGGATTCCTTCCAAACTAGTCCTTGGGACTCCTGCCACTGAAGCCTAGGGAGGCAGAAAGAGAAGAGGGTGTAGAGAGAAATGAAGCTTCCACACTGTCCCCTCCACAATGCCCCTGTGGATGGCTCACATGCACAGCCTCTTCCATGGCCTTGAACCCTCCAGTCTCAGGGTCTCCCTTATCCTCCTTGAGCCCTGTTCATAGCAGGAGTACTGACATCTCTTCAGCTCTGAGACCCAGCTAAGGGCTGGCAGTTTGGCCCCACCATGCTGGGCCGCCACCTTGTAGCCTCTCTTCTTGTCTCATCTGTCATGGACTCTCCTGTGTGGGCATCTCACCTCTTTCATCCATCACACCCGAGTCCTGTACTGTAGGTGTGTGAGATCCAGGTGCCGCCCTGCCCTCTGCTACACTGGACTCCTGCAGTGCCTGGAACACAAAAGGTCCTGCGGTGGGGATTTTTTTCTTACCTATTTCTGCCTCTTCCCCCACTCTCAACCCTCACTGCCCACCAGGCACCCAGCACTCAGGGCCCCTAGACCAGGAGCCAGCACTTTGAAGTGAAAATGGACAAGGTGAAGGATCCTATGGCACCCCCAGATGTTCACGTGGCATTCCTGGCTTTCGTGATTGGGTGGGATCTGTTTGTTCAGAGTAATGTTGATGACACCACTGCGATTCCTGGGCTGTGTGGATGGATTTAGTGAAGTCACTTGTAAGAACAAGCAACTGGACATGGGAATCCTGTGGAAGCTTGGATTTCCATGTCATTTAGCTACTCTATCTTAGGCTCCTTTTGTGTTCCAGGCACCATCCTGGGCAGTGGAGTGGAGAACTGCCAAGGGAAGTTTATAAAAACCCCCTGTTCCCTCTCTAGATGATGATGGAGACAGAAATGACCACACAGCCTGAACTGTGCAAGGCTGGAGGAGGGAGTCTCTAACTGTTAAGCAAAGTTTATAAACCATTTCTCCTTCCCTAGAGGATTGATGTGGGGTATGTGGACAGGATTTGCAGTGACTGATGGGCCTCAAACGAGGCTTTGCCCTTAAAAAAAACCATTATCATTTATCTCCTCCTCAACAGGGCTCCTCATGACCTTCAGAGGCAGCAGCTGAAGTGTTAGCAGTGAGCGTAGGTCAGACAAGGGCTTGTGTGTCGAACAGTGCTTTATAGGAAAACCACAGTGATAGTGGCAATTATGCAAGGCTTTCCATGCTCTGTTATGCCCCGTTTATTCAGGATCTTTAGGGCATCAATTGTACTCGGGTGCTTATTTTCAGGGACCTAAAGTTTTCACATTTAAACACCAAAAGTGTTTTCTTTTAGATATTGGCCATCCTGTGTATCTTTCTAAAATCTTTTTATTCCCTGTTTTTTTTTTTCAACTTAGAAAACGTTTTCTCGTACATATTCATGGTAGAAGAAAAACCAAGAAAATACTTATAAAGTATAATAATTTTCTCCCTTCATCTACTCCTCTCAGAGATAAGTCCTGTTCACATTCCACCTTCTAAGATACGGTGATTTTAATTCAGTCTTTTATTGATGACTCAAGATCTTCATCTCAGTCCTCATTAGTTGTCCTCTGCACATGTAGCATTTTCCCCACCATGCACTATGATTCTTGGTATAAAAAGTGCTGCACGAGGCGATTATCTATTTGGCTATTTTATTTTCTTGGTGCCAGCTGGCACTTTCTGTGGCTGTACATAAACCTTATATTCCTTTTGCCTCTCTATATGCACCGGGTCTTCTTGATTCTAAGATGCACATCTTCCCTGGATATTTTAATGTTTCTGAAACCAGGATGTACCTTGCCAGAGGACAAAGGAATAAGTTCTTGTGGACATTGTCACCATCTCCGTGTACATGGGGTTTCATCTATTTCCCACCTCAGTTGCTATGGTCACTTATTTCATTGGAGACTTTACAGTCACTTGAATTTTAACTTACATTTGGATTCCTAAATGATTGCTTATTATGTGTTTTAGAAGATGACACTATAATGAAGTAATACAATTATTGTGAATGTAGAAGATTGCTGTCATGTGCCAGCCAAGATGATTAAAGGCAGTTGAAATTGCCAAATCTCCCAGAATAGATCATAAAATTTTCAGAGTTAAGGGAGGTGGCCGTGACCAACTTTTGTGTCATGAAGGAATATCAAGTGCCCGAAATTATTAAAAGCTTTGGACAGACTTTAAAGATAAACTGTCTAGTTCCCATCAGCAGATAATTTAATTAAAGAAAAGTGAAACAGCAAATAACCAAATAGGAAATTCAGATGAAAGGCCCTTATCTCCTTTATCCTTGGGTTTGCCTGAGAATTGTTCTGTTCATTTGAAAGATGCTGAGGGGTTCAAGGTCTTGCAGTCTGGGTCACAAACAGCAGGGCTTCAGCAGAATGCTGTGCCCATCTGGCCAAGACAGGCACCGACTCAGACGAACCCTGAGAATCTGCATCTGAAGAAGGCTTAGATTCAAACTTTGAGTGTAGTATTGAAGAAGAAAGTGGTTTGAATAAACCTATGCTTTTTGCTGGTCAGTAAAAAATATTTCTGTGTTCTCACTTAAAAGGGAAGTTGTGACACATGCTACAACATGGATGAACCTTGAGGATATCATGCTAAGTGAAATGAGCCAGTTACAAAAAGACAAATACTGTCTGACTTCACTTATATGAGATTTCCTGAGTAGTCACATTCACAGAGACGGGAAGTGGAATGGTGGTCGCCAGGGCTGGGGGAGAGGGGAAATAGGGAGTTGTTTTTTTAAGGGTGTAAAGTTTCAGTTTTGCAAAGACAAAAAGTTCTGGAAATTGGTTGCACAACATTGCGAATGTGCATAACACTACTGAACTGTGCATTTTAAAAAGGTTAAGATGGTAAATTTTATATTATGTATTTTTTCATCACAATTAAAAATTATATTTCTGGGTTCTCTTGGTGAGAGCACCATCATCCACCCAGTTCTACAAACAAGAAACCTTTGATACCTCCTTCATGCCCCCACCCAGTGATCTCCAGACCTTGTAGGTTTTATCTGCTAGTTCTCCAACTCTCTGCTTTTTACCATCTCTTTGATCATAGTCCAAGCTACCATCATCTCGAGACAACAGCGGTGGCCTCTTAACCACAACCTCATGGACTTCTTGCTGTCCTCAAATTCTTTATCCAGAGTGAACTGTTCAAAAGTCTGATTGTATTGGGCCCCCATTTAAAAGCCTTCCTTGATCAGGCAAATGCAGATCAAAACCACATGACATGTCACTTCACACCCACCAGGATGGCTAAAATCCAAAGTCAGATAATAACAAGTGCTGGTGAGGATGTAGAGAGACTGGAACCGTTGTTCATTCCATGTGGGAATGTAAATGGTCTTTGGAAAACAGTCTGGCAGTCGCTTAAATGATTAAACATAGAGTCACCATATGACCCAGCAGTTCCACTCCTAGGTATGTATCCAAGAGAAATGAAAGCATATGTCTACCTAAACACTTGTACATTCATGTTCATAGCAGCATTATTTAGAATAGCCAATAAGGTGGAAAGAATCTAAATGTCCATCAACTGACGAATGGACAAACAAAATGTGGTAGATCTATAAAATAGATAACTGCTTGCCCATAAAAAGGAATGGAGTACTGATGCATGCTACGACATGGATGGGCCTTAAAAACATTAAGTGAAAGAGGAAGCCAGTCACATAAGATCCTGTGGGATTCCATTCGTGTGAAATGTCCAGAATAGGCAAATACATAGACAGAAAGTAGATTAGTAGTTGCTTAGAGATTGGCAGAGAGCGGGAAGTGGGGCGGGGGGGTGGCAGTGGTTGCTAAAGGTATGGGATTATTTTCCTGTTTGTCTTTTTAATGAAAGCAAGATGATGTCTGTTTATTGGTGTCTTTTAAAAAATAGGTCTGGGTATATTTAGGTTGCATTTTCCATTTTTTTAATCATGGTAAAATACACATAACATCAAACTTACCTTCTTAGCCATTTTAAGTGTATGTACAGTTCAGTGGTATTAAATACATTCATAATGTTGTACAGTCATCACCACCACCCATGTCCATAACTCTTTCCATATTGTAAAACTGAACTCTGTATCCATTAAACCATAACTCACCATTCTTCCCACCCTCTAGTCTTGGCAACCACCATTCTACTTTCTGTCTCTACAATATTGACTACTCCAGGTACCTCAGATGAGTAGAATCATACACTGTTTGTCTTTTTGTGACTGACTTCTTTCATTTAATACAACGTCCTCCAGTTTCATCCATGTTGTAGCATATGTCAGAATTTCTTTCCTTTTTAAGCTGAATAATATTCTCTTGTATGTATACACTCCATTTTGCTATTCACTCATCTGTTGACAGGCATGTGAGCTGCTTCCACATTTCAGCTATTCTGAATAATGCTGCTATGAACATGAACACACAAATTTCTGTTTGGAATCTTGCTTTCCATTCTTGCGGGTATATACGTAGAGGTAGAATTGCTGGACCATATGATAATTTTTAGGGGGGAACCGCCATATTGTTTTCCATAGCATCTGTATCATTTTACATTCCCACCAACAGTGCCCAAGGGTTCCAATTTCTCTATGTCCTCATCAACACTTGTTATTTTCTGGACTTTTTTGGTAGTGGCCATTATAATGGATGTTACATAGTATTTGGGTTTTTTTTTTTTGAGGTGACGAAAATGTTCTATAATTGACTGTGGTGATTGTGCATATGTGTGAATATACTAGAAAGTATTGAATTGTACACTTTGAAGGGGTAATTTGTATATGTGAATTATATCTCAATAAACCTGTTTATTTTTTAAAAGCTTTCCATGGCCTACTCTTCCTAGCAGAAAGTCCACAGTCCTTCGGCTGGCCCTTCTGCCTGGCCCTCATCCTCCCCTAGTCCCATCTCAGCTGGAGACTGCACACGTGGCTTGCTGGCATTCTGCCCTTTGCCTGGCTGCATCCTCCCACCCCCGCCCTGGTCGCTTGCTTCGTTCTCCTGGTTGCGTTCTCTTGGTTCTACCTTGTTAAGATTCGAGCTCAAACATTACCTTCTCAAGGAGGCCTTTCCTGACTCCTTGGACTAGATTCCTCATGATGTGTGCTTCTGGTTTCCTGCATGTACATGCCCCATTGACTGTGCCAGCCCCCAGCCCCTGCCCCTAGTCTGTTCTGCATCCTCAATCCCAGCAATAGTCTTCCACATGTATTTGTGGAGTGATGAATCAATAACATCCTAGGTCTTAAGACTTATGGTATTAATGTTCTGCCATTTTCCTAAAATGATTTGAAGCAACATAAAGCAAAACAAAACAACAGCTAATAGGATGACTTATAAAGCTATGTTAATTAAAACATTGTGCTCTAAAACCAAAAAGAGATAGCCAGTCAGTGGAACAGAATAGAAACTCTAGAAGCGTGCCTGAATAAATACAATAATTTAATATATAATAAATTAGAATGTGAAATGATTGAGAAGAACTGAATTTATCAACAAAAGGTATTGAGGATGACTGGTTACATTTAAAAAGTTTAAATGTCAGAACAACCTAATTAAAATGACCAAAGGACTTACATAGACATTTCTCCAAAGAAGATAAACGAATGGCCATTAAGCCCATGCAAAAATGGTCAAGTTCACCAACCTTTAGGGAAATGCAAATCAAAACCACGAGTCACCGCTTTACACCCATTAGGATGGCTTTTATTAAAAAACAAAAAAACACCACAGAAGCAAACAAAATGACAAGTATTGGTGAGGATGTGAAGAAAATGGACCTTTCTGCATTGCTGGTGGTAAAATGGTACAGCCACCATGGAAAACAATATGGCAGTTCCTCAAAAAATTAAACATAGAATTACCATTGAATCCAGTAATTCCACTTCTGGAAGGACACTCAAAATAATTCAAAGCAGGGACTCAAACAGATATCTGTACACCAATGTTCATAGCAGCATTATTCACAATAGCTGAAAGGGGACTCAACCTAAGTGTTCATTGACAGATGAAAGGATAAACAAAATTTAGTGTACACACACACACACACACACACACACACACACACAAAATGGAATATAATTTATCCTGAAAGAGGAAGGAAATTCAGACATATGCTACAACATGGATGAGGCTTGAGGACATACTGCTAAGTGTAATACAGAAGACAGAAAAAGACAAATATTCTATGATTCCAATTATGTGCAGTTCCTGGAGAAGACCAATTCTTAGAAAATAGAATGGTGGTTGTTAGGGGCTGCAGAGAAGGAGGGAGAATTGGGAGTCAGTGTTTAATGGGTATAGAGCCTTAGTTGGGGGTGATGAAAAAGTTGTAGAGATGGATGGTGGTGGTGGTGGTTGTACAACAATGTAAATTTACTTAAAGCTGCTGAACTGTACATTTCAAAATGGCTAAAATGGTCAATTTTATGTTATGTGTATTTTGCCACAATAAAAAAGGAATTAAGAAAGTTAAAATGTTAGCTTTCTACTCCCCAACCTCCAATCTTTACAGCAAAATCATTTCTAGCTTTAATATTTCAGTGTGAAAAAAACCCATAAAATGGTAGAAGTGGCTACTGATATAACCATTGGACGCTGCAGGGCTTGCCTAAGCATGATACCAAGGGGCAGCAGCCACCAAAACAAAGACTGGTAAATTTGAATACAGAATTTAAAAATGTCTGAAAATCAAAGCCACTGTTAAGTTGGGATCCCAGGAAAAAGACTCTGAGATGGAGAATTGCCTGCAAAAGTTTTATTGGGGAGTGTATGGGAAAGTCGACTGTGGCCAAAAGAGGACGGACGGTAGGAGGGAGGGGGCAGAGGCAGAGATGGACCACCACTGTGGTTTCAACTGAGGCTGTTGCTGATCCCAGGGAGAGCCCTGGAGCTGTAATGGCCCTTCAGGGCGGTCCCAAATTGAGGCAGTGGGACTGGGCCTTTGTTTTCCTGCATCGGCCAGTCACTGGCCCTGGGCTGCCCCGTGGGATGAGGCAGCTCCCTGACACTGAGGGCAAGTTCCAGTAAAGGACTCAGTTGTTCACTGTCAGCAGCTGATATTCCTAGCAGCTGGGGGGACAGGCATATCAGCCCAGCAAAAGGGATTGAGGTGGAGCCCCACAGTATCCACTATATCTATAAACAATAACCAAGGCAGATATTTACAACACAGGTCAGATTTCTCGGGAAACTGGCTCCAAACAGATGTGCGTGCAGGAGCTTTATGTTGCAGGGCTATTCTCCACAACAGTACCTGTAAGGGAGAGAGGGAAGCAGGATTGGGCACAGAGAGATTGAACTGCCACACAGCACACAGTTGCAGCAGAGGCCTCAGCTGATGCCGCAGGGAGCCCTGAAGGTGGGAGAGCCCTTCAGATTTGTCCCAAATCAAGGCAAGGGTGTTGGGTCTTCCTACCCCTATGTCAAATAGTTACTGGATGTGGGCTGCCCCTGGGGAGGGGACATAAATGTGGGTAACGCAGCTCACTTGGCCGAGGGTGGCTTCTGGTCAGCAGCCAGCACTCCCTGCAGCTGGGGTAGCGGTGCCCAGCTCCTGAAGGGGAAGGGAGGACCTGGACAGTGGATGGCAGCCCCACCCCACCCAGTGCTCCTGCTGCTGGCATTCACTTTCTCTGTTTAGTAAGTTCACCCCTCTGGCATGTCTTCCCTAGAATTCTATGGTTTGTTTTCCTAGGAAGCTTACAAGAGGAAGTTAGAGGGACAAACTACAACCCCCACTGCTACAGTGGGCTTTGGGAAACAGCTGAGACCCATCATCTCTCCTTTGCTCTCTGTTCTATATTCCCCAGCATCTCTGCTGATTTAAATGGCTTACTGGGTGGGCTGAGCCAGACCCTCATTCCTGAGGACCCTGAGCCCCTGGTCCTGTGTTCTTGTGTTCTTGTCAGACCATGA
The DNA here is from genome assembly GCF_000001405.40 of Homo sapiens. Taxonomy (NCBI): domain Eukaryota; kingdom Metazoa; phylum Chordata; class Mammalia; order Primates; family Hominidae; genus Homo; species Homo sapiens. The sequence goes on along the minus strand of NC_000009.12, from coordinate 98,667,034 downwards.
CTGCTGCACTGTCTATTTACTTGTCAAAATTGGGCAAAGGACCACGGAGCACTATCCCAGTGGATCACCTGGGCACCAAACGCACTCTTCCAGGCCCCCATCACCTAAGAGCAGCCCTGCCCCTCTTGATGACCAGGATCAGTTACCCCTACCAGGGCAGTGGCTCCTCTTCTGGTCTGCTGGGTTCTTGGCACAAGGGGCCTGAAGTAACCAGGTGGTCTCTGTAGCTGAAAGATTAATGGTACCTTTACCATTGTCTCACATGGAAAGCCTTCCCTCTCTGTTGCTCAGGCCCTCTAGACCTGTGCTGTCCAATATAGTAGCTACCAGCCATGAGTAACTACTTAAATTTAAATAAAATAAGCCAGACACAGTGGCTCATGCCCGTAATCCCAGCTACTTGGGAGGCTGAGGCCAGAGGATCACTTGAGGTCTGACCAGTCCAGGCAGCATAGCAAGACCCCGTCTATGAAAAAACAAATAAAAATTCAGTTATCCACTCATACTAACCACATTTCAAGTGCTTAGTACCCACAGGCAATTTGTGCATTGGACAGTGCAGGCATAAAATAGTTCCATGATGACAGTAAGTTCTTTTGGGGGCAATGTCTCTAGACCTACCATAACCTAAAGCTGCAAGGATGAGAAGCATGAATTCTCCAAGTGGGTCACTGGGAGTGATCCTGAGTGGAGCCATTCCGACCTCTAGCCCTTGGTTCCCAGACCCATGTATTCTACCTGTTGGGCCACAGCACCATGTAATGATCGTTCATTTAGATTATTCCTTTGGGTTCGTTAGGTTCCTTCCTGGAACATGGTACCCTGTCCTGCAGGGGATCATCTCCAGGCTGGCCCCCTCACCTGAGCCTTCAGAAGGCCATTCCATTGCTCCATCAGGCTGGTAGCTTCTGAGTGATTCGGTCTGTGAGAGGCTCCATAGTCATGTGACCACTGCTACCTTTCCTTTGCTCTCATGCAGTTTCCTTGGTTTGAGGTGATGTTATGTAGGATCTGCGTTAGTGGATCAAACACTCTGTAAACCCCAGACAGACAGTGGTGCTGGCTAAGGCTCTTTGGGCAGGACAGGTAAACCATACCAGAATAGGTGTAGATTACAGTCAAGATAAAGCACTTCCTTTCTGGGGTTGAAGATGTTCAAATGTAATCAACTTGTCTCCAAGTGGCTGGTCGCATCCCTCGAGGGTTGGTGTCATATGGGAACTCAGCTCTGGTCTTTGTTGCTGGCAGGTTGGACGTTCAGCAATGTGAGAAGTTAGATCCGCCCTGGTGAGTGGGAGTCCACACTTCATCTCCTCCAGGGCTCAGAAGCACATTAAGTGCTGCCTTTCAAGCAGCATCTAGTTCTCTGCTGCAGATGGCATGGCCTTGCTCCAGAACCCTAGGGTCTGTGTTGTGATTGTCCTATTCAGGCTTGACACAAACTCCACATGGTGTTTTTTTCCCACCAGATTCCTCTAGTACTATAGGGTCTGCTGGGTCATATGGCTGAATTGTTAGGGCTGCTTGTGCTGCAGCCTGGACCTAATGCAAAGACCTTTTCTGCCCTGGGATCTACACAAAGCTGGCAGCTTTCTGTGTCAATCAGTAAATGGGTCAGAACAGTATTCCCAAGTATGAAATATGCTGCTTTGGGAACCTGAAGAGGTCTTCTTAGTGTTGGGAGGCGCAAGATGCAATAGTTAGTTCTCTTTTCTTTTTTTGTTGAGCAAGCGAGAGAGAGAGAGAGAGAGAGAGAGATTGAGAGAGAGAGACTGACTCACCCTGTCAAGGAGGCTGAAGTGCAGTGGAACGATCATGGTTCACTGCAGCCTGGACCTCCCAGGCTCAGGCGATCCTCCTATCTCAGCCTCCTGAGTAGCTAATACAACAGGTGCATGCCACCACACTGGGCTAATTTTTAAAAATTTTATGTAGAAACAGAGTCTCATTCTGTTGCCTAGTCTGGTCTTGAACTCTGAGGCTGAAGTGGTCCTCCCACCTCAGCCTCCTGAGTAGCTGGGACTACAGGTACATGCCACCATGCCTGGCTAATTTTTTAAAATTTCATTTTGCAGAGATGGGGGTCTCACTATGTTGCCCAGTCTGGTCTCAAACTCCTGGGCTCAAGCGATCCTCCCACCTCAGCCTCCCAAAGTGCTGGGACTACAAGCTTGAGTCACTGCACCTGGCCCAATAATTAGTTCTTTCCTTTGGCGAGAATATCTCAGACTTCTGGATCCCTAAATACTTCCCTGATGTGGTAGGCACCTGAATCTTTGGAGGGTTTGTCTAGTTCCCTCTGGGTACATGTATCTGACTCAGTGTCCAGCATACTTGCCTCTCTTGCTCAGCTGACCCAGTGAACGAGATTGGTCTTTTGAGATAAAAGACCAATATGGTGTCCTGCACAATGTCCAGAGGCCCTTCAGACTGTTACTGAGAGTGGGAGGATTAACATAGCACTGAACAAAAACCATAAATGTATCCTGCCATTAGTTCTATGTAAATGCAAACAGCTTCTGATTTTTCTTCCCCATTGAATAGAAAATAATGGATTTGCCAACTTGGTGGCCACATATCGTGTACCTGAGTCTGCGTTAATCTGATCTAGCAAAGCTAGTGCTCTGGGAGAGCAGTGTAATTGAGGTGCTACTTGGATGACTTTGCAGTGGTCCACTGTCATCCACCAGGATCCATCTGGTTTTTGAAGAGGCTAGGCTGGTGGATTAAATGGGAATACAATGGGGATCACTAGCCGTTTATTCTTAGGTCTTTGTGCCGTTCTCTTCCCACCCCCAGCAGGATGCCGTACTGTTTTTGACATAATATTTTGGCTAGGAAAGTGGGAGAAACAGTTTCAGAAGCTTCTGCTCGGCCTTGCTCAACTCTGATGGCTCTTACTCTATAGACAAGAGAACCAGTGTGGGGATCCTGCCGACGCCCAGACATGGCCTTTCCAATCACACATTTGACAAGAGGGACATACCACTGGGTGGGTCTGTGGACCTAGTAGACTCATTATGATCTGGACCTGGGCCGGGATGCCTTTTCTTAGCTATCCCTAGTATAATTCTATTCTAACAAGGTGGCCATGTTTGTGTCCCTGGGTACAGTATCAACTCAGACTGTGTATTTAACAATCCTCAAAATGTCTGGGTATTTCTCTTTCCCCAGTTTATGATTACTTGTATAAATTTGGGATGTCCCTCTGGAGAAAGACAGAGGGAGTCATTATTATATATATTTGTTGTGATGATGTTACAGGGTCTTTCCTCATGGGAACCTAGGCCTTCCTTCAGACGGAGGCTTTCAGGTCTGCAAAATGTCTCAGGTCCATAAACTGGGCAAGGGATCATAATTTTTTTTTTTTTTTTTTTAGTGGGGCAGCTGCTTTCAGCCTCCTGATCATTCATTTTTGATTTTTCAGTTTTTGGCTCCATAAATGAAGGACTACCTTTGTTGGCTGCCCATCTATCTTTCCCTGAGGAACACCATTCTGTTAAACGTCTTCCTAGATCTCTGTGGACCAGGCCCCTGACTGCTATTCTGACCTTGCCGCTAATTATGACAGTTGCACCCACCTTGCTTTTGACAGTGAAGTGCTGCTGTCTGGCCTTTTAGTATTTGGGATTCTATCATGCCGATTGCTATCAGGTAGACCAGTTCTGTAACAGAGTTTTCTGCCATCATCCCCGGTCTGCAGAGAAGAGCCAGCACTGAATATCTCCATGACCCTGTGCCTTTCCTCCAGTACCCTCTGCTCCACCCCACCCCACCCCACCCCTGCCTGTCCCCGCATGGTCTCCTGGCCTTGGTTAAATTTCCTCTCTAGTGAGCTTACTTCCATGAGCTTTGTGATTTCTCCCTCCACTGTCTTGATGACAGTTCTGGCATTTCTACTTCACTTAGCGTAGGCCAGGCTTGTAAGAGCCATTGTGTTAACTCCTTGTCTCAGGATACTTACTAGGGCATTATATTCTGTATCATGGGAGGGTCCTCTCATCATGATCAACCCATCCTTAATCAACCTGATGCTCCATTCCCTCATGAGCCACCACTCTCACAATTCAGTCCCACATATCACCTCTTGGCTCCTGTGGGACATGCTGTCTGGGTCGCACAGCTCTGGTGTGTGTTACCTTGTCTGGGCTTCCATGTCTGGCTGTGTTGTGATTTGACTCTAGTTTTTGGCCTGGTGGTCAGGAAGAGATGGGGGGATACACGTGCCTGGGGTGGGCACGTATGATAGCATCTTTGGATCATCTTTAAGCAAGGTGACACCCTAGCCTGTGTTAGGGAGGAGTGGGTCAGTACTGCAGGCCTGGGGGTTCAGGAGAATCTGGAGAGCAGGGTCTTCAGGTAAATTGACCTGGTGTCTCCATTCCAAGTCTCAGGCCCTGTTCTCCAATTAGAGCCCTGATTTCAGCATAGCAGATTTGTCAGGGTTGGAAATTTACCCTTCTCTGGAGCTCTGCTCCCCTTTTAAATAACTCCTGGGGTCCTCAGCTTTTTCTGCCCTTCATCTACATGAGATGTGAGTTTCTTTATATGCTACTAAGAAGTGTCTTCGATTTTCACACTCCTCTGAAATTGGTGATTAATCATTCTCAGCCTCTCTTCATCTTTCCCCAGCACATTGATTGTACCCAGCAACAGCCATCTGATTCCAAGTTCCTTATGATCATTGCTTCACTCAAACCTCTCAAATGCCTGTGATAGTGCCCTACCCATCTTCCATTCCAGCTGGCCATGGTGAAAGTTTGAACAATTTCACTGCTTCAGCATGCCACAGGCTATGAGTGTCCCACCGACCACCAACAGTGGGGTTCTCACTGCCAGCTCCAAAATCTCATATTAGATTTTGCTCTGAAAACGATTTCTGAAGCCAGTTCCTTAGGTTGGATTCCCTGGGAAACTGAGATTCTAAGATTTGTATGTAGGAACTTTTCTTTGGCAAGTGCTGTTAGGAATAACACCTGTAAGAGTGTGGGAAGCAGGACTGGAAGGGGGAAGAGTTGAAGTGAAGCAGAAGTTGAACTGAAGTGGGAGAAGTTGAGCTGCGATGTGGTTGCAATAGGAGCCTCGACCAATTCTCCAGGGAGCTCTGGAGCTGCCTGAATCAAGGCAAGGGATCAGGCTTTTGTATTCCCACACTGGATGCCGGCTGCTCTGAGGGACGGGGCCTAACCTAGACCAGAACAGCTCCCTTCAGGCCAAGGCAATTTCTGGAGAGACTCACTTGTGAGCCACCTAGCAGCTGGGAAAATGAGTGCTGTGGTCCAAAATGGATAATTTGGGCAGTGGTCCGCAGCATCCACTAACATAGTCATCACAGGCCAGGCGCGGTGGCTCACGCCTGTAATCCCAGCACTTTGGGAGGCCGAGGCAGGTGGATCACCTGAGGTCAGGAGTTTAAGACCAGCCTGGCCAACATGGTGAAACCCTGCCTCTACTAAAAATACAAAAATTAGCTGGGCATGGTGGTATGCGCCTGTAATCCCAGCTACTCAGGAGGGTGAGGCAGGAGAATCACTTGAAACTGGGAAGTGGAGTTTGCAGTGAGCCAAGATTGTGCCATTGCACTCCAGCCTGGGCAACAGAGTGAGACTCCATATCGGGGGGGTGGGGGAAAAGTCAACACGTCTCAATACACAAAAGGAAAAATAAGAAAGAGATGAACACTCCAAGGCACGAGGCGCAAAGGGCCCACAGTGTAGGCTTAATAATGCCTCGCCTCAAGATGTCCACATCCTCATTCTTGGATCCTGTGAATGTTGCCTTCCATGGCAAAAGGGAGTTTGAAGATGTAATGAGTTAAGAATCTTGCGGCTGGGTGCAGTGGCTCACTCTTGTAATCCTAGCACTATGGGAGGCGGAGGTGAGTGGATCACTTGAGGTCAGGAGTTCGAGACCAGCCTGGCCAAATGGCGAAACCCCATCTCTACTAAAAACACAAAAAGAATTATCTGGGTGTAATGGCGCATGCCTGTAGTCCCAGCTACTCCGGAGGCTGAAGCAGGAGAATTGCTTGAACCCAGGAGGAGGAGGTTGCAGTGAGCTGAGATTGTGCCATTGCACTCCAGCCTAGGCAACAGAGCGAGACTCCATTTCAAACAAAAAAAGAATCTTGAGATGGGGATATTATCCTGGATCATCCAGGTAGGCCCCAGGTAATCACAAGGGTTCTTATAAGAAGGAGGCAGGAGGTCAGAGTGAGTAGTAGGAGACACGGGCATAGAACCAGGAAGTTTGAGTGAGGAAAGAAAGGGGCCATGAGTCAAAAAATAGAAGTGGCCTCTAGAAGCTGAAAAAGGCAAGGAGCTTCCTCTCAGAGCCTCCAGAAGGAACCAGCCCCGCCAAAACCTTGACTTTAGCCCTGTAAGACTCATTTTGGATTTCTGATTTCCAGAACGATAAAATAGTACATTTGTGTTGTTTTAAGCTGATAACTTTGTGGTGATTTGTTATAGTAGCAATAGGAAACTAACTCAGACTCCGTAGGAAACTCACCAAAGAATATATACAATTGGCCAATAAAGGCAGTTAAAAATGTGGAACTTAGTCACAAATATGTGTGCTAGCTATCAATTGAATTAAAATTAATGCAGTAGGATACGCTTTTACTCTCAGGTTGGTACAAGCAAAAAATGGTAATTCCCATTATTGATGAAGATTAAGGAAATACGTATTTTCATACTGGTGGAAGTGTTGTGTAAATTGATATAACTTTTCTGGAGGGTGATCTGAGAATATTTATCAAACAACTTTAAAACCTGTATCTTCTCTGATCTAGAAAATTCATTTCTAGGACTTTATCCTAAGGTAATGGTGGAAGTATTATCTATTATAGTGAAAAGTGGAAACATCCTAAATGTTCGAGGAGAAAGAATTGATTGAATAAATATTGATATAGCTGTGCAATATTTATACAGTGTTTTCTGTATCCAGTTTTGACATAGAAAAATATGAGGGAATTATTGTTAGATGAAAAAGGCCAAAAATTAGTGTGTATAATATAATGCAGATTTCACTTAAAATATGCATATAAAATGTCTTAAAGGATATGTACCATAATTTTAATAGTGGTTATTTCTGGCAAGTAACAGTTTAATGGAGTTTCTAATCCATATCACAGGACAGCAAACTACAGCATCATTTTTTTTTTTAAGCCTGCAAGCTAAAAATGGTTCATACGTTTTTAAAACGGTTGTTTAGGCTGGGTGCGGTGGCTCACACCTGTAATCCCAACACTTTGGGAGACCGAGGTGGGCGGATCACTTGAGGTCAGGAGTTCAAGACCAGCCTGGCCAACATGGTCAAACCCCATGTCTACTAAAAATACAAAAGTTAGCTGGGCGTGGTGGTGGGTGCCTGTAATCCCAGCTACTTGGGAGGCTGAGGCAGGAGAATTGTTTGAACCAGGAGGCAGAGATTGCAGTGAGCTGAGATCGTGCCACTGCACTCCAGCCTGGGCAATAGAGCAAGACTCAGTCAAAAAAAAAAAAAAAGAAAAGAAAAGAAAAGAAAAAAGGTTGTTTAAAAAAAAAAGAAGAAGAAATAATATGGGACTGTGACTATATGGTCTTCAAAGACTAAAATATTTACTATCTGGACCTTTACAGAAAACATTTGCTGACCCCTGATCTGTATCGTCTGATTTTCTCCAGTGAATAAAACAATGTTAACAATGTAAAACAAACAAAAAAGATGTATAAACATTTCCAGTGCAGTGCTTTAAAATAAATAGCTCAGCTGGAAAATTGTAAAATATGCAAAAGGGAGAACTGTAAAATGAAGACAGGAATGAAGTGAGTACAGAGAAATATATGCAAAAGGTCTTGCATGATTGCCAAAAGTGAATAAGAAATTTGGCCCTGAGCTTCCTAGTGGAAAAAGCAAGAATATATACAGGATCTGTTTCATGACCCATGATATCTAAAACAACCCAGTGCCTCAAGACGTATAATAGTTTTTCTTGGCTGAGAAAATACCACCATTGCAGCTTTATAAAGTGAATATTTCATGTGGTCAGACTTGGAGTATTTTGCCCAGAGTGAGAATAAATTGGCTTTGAGTACATGGAAGAAAAGTTCTTATGAAGGAAAGTCTTAAATTTCAGAGCATGACATCCCTTAATGCTGCCCAGAGCTCTTGTCTATTTCCTTTCTGTTTCTCATTCGTTCCAGATAAGGGTCTTCTGGGTGAGTTGGGGGTCTCACGACTAGTACTAACGTGGCTTGTGATCCCTGTGAGCCACAACTATTACCACGGGACATTCATGAGGTCACATGTTGCCCCCAAGCCAGGGCTTTTTTCCTTCTGCATTACTTGAACAAAGTGCTCTGCACACACTGCCCTAGGGAGGAAGCCTACTCCTGAAGGATACTGGCAGTGGTTCCTTGGAAGAACCCGCTTTTAAGATGCCACATTGAATAAGGACTGGTCTTTGTGTGAGAGTGCTGGTTCCGCCTCTGGAGGGTTGACAGAGCGGTGGATGGGAGCAGGCATTTGTCTTCATGTGGAGACTGATATAGGGCATGTCCAGGTGACATCATCTAGTGGGAAAAGCTAGTCGGTTACTTGAGTTAGCCAGGTCACACCAGCATACATTCATTCATTCATTCATTCATTCATTCATTCATTCAACACAGTGGCTCTCCACTGAAGCTGTACCCATGGAGCACCTGGGGAGCTTTATAAATAAATAGGGATGCCCAGACTCTGCCCCAGTCAGAATCTTCTGGAGGTGGGGCCCAGGCTTGTGTATTTCTAAATACCTCCCTTGGTGATTCTGGTGTGCATCTCCAGTGGAAACCGCCCGTGGTGGTAGACCTTGGGTTTTGGTGTTTGGATCCCAACTTCCTTGTTTATTAATCACTTGACTATGGGTGGATGACTTATCCTCTCTGAACCTCACGTTTCTTGTCTGAAAAATGAGTTAAAAGGAATATATGTAAAGTATTTAGCATGCTGCTTAGCAAGCAGTCAGTGCCTAGTAAAGGCTCTTGGTAACTGTATTAGTCCATTCTCACACTGCTATGAAGAAATACCTGAGACTGGGTGATTTATAAAGGAAAGTTTTGTTGACTCACAGTTTCCCATTGCTGGGAAGGCCTCGGGAAACTTACAGTCATGGCAGAAGACAAAGGAGAAGCAGGTATCTTCTTCACAGGGGGCAGGACAGAGAGAGAACAAGCAGGGGAAATGCTAGACACTTAAAAACCCATCAGATCTTGTGAGAATCACTCACCATCATGACAACAGCATGAGGGAAATGGCTCCCATGATCCAGTTACCTCCACCTGGTCCCGCTCTTGCCATATGCAGATTTGGGGGATGATAATTCAAGACGAGATTTTGGGTGGAAACCCAGTCAAACCATATCATTTCACTGTCATCAGAATCACTATCATTGAGTTACCTGAGTTGGCCCTCACCCTGGATCCTGGTTCTCATAACTGAATGTTGATCTTTTTTGTGGCCACGTGTTTTTCATATTCCCTTCCGCTAAAACAGGGTCCCTTCCTTACATCTGAGTCCCTGGCCAGGGTTCCACAGGGGCTGGCCAGATAAATGTAAATGAATGAAGAGAACAGGCGTAAGGGAAATGGACCACGGCACACTGTGTGTTAACGCCTGCTGGGAGGGTTTTTAATTCTGTAAGGAAATATACCCTCCATTTTTCTTGAAAACGTACAGTCTTCTTGGTTTATGTTTTGTTTTTCACTTTTAATAGAGACATGGATACAGAGAAATATTTCTTTACCATAAGAAAAACAACACTTTGCAACCGCAATGATAAATGTCAGCTGACACTTAAAGCTGGGTAAAGCCCTAAAGATGGGGCATCATGGAAATGTTGTAGATGGGAGAGCCCTCCCCCTCTGCAGGGGCAAAGGCTGCTCAGTTCCAATTGATTGTTACCACAGGTAAACGTGGCCCAGTTTGACCAGATCTACTGAGTTTTCAAGAGAAGCTGAAAATTTGGATTTTTAAAATGTTGGCTCAGTTTTTAAAAAGTAGCACTGTATGAGTCAAATAAAACATATTTCAAGGTTGAATGTGGCCTAAGAGCCACCCGTTTGCAACCTCTGATCCAGCATCTAGGGCCAGCTTTGCTCTTGCCAGCACCCCTACCCAGCTGCCTGTTAATAAACCTCCCTGCTGCTGACCCCTTCTTGTCTGGACTTCCCCCATGTTTTTTGTTTCCATAATCATGTCACAGTGCTCTGCCCTCCTGTGGGGACACCCTCACTCCTAAATGTGTTCTGGAAATGTGGCTGTCCTCTGATAGGTTTCCTTAAGAATGGATGAAATGAGTTAAGGCATAACTGGTAACTGGCTCACTGTTCTTTGGCAATGGAAAAATATTCCTTGCCAATAATTTCTCTCAACACTTTTTCAGGCAAAGCAACATACGGGGTAATTATTTTTAGATCAGAAATAATTTGGGTGTTATAATGTCAGTGTACGTAAACCTGGTAAGATTATAGGAAGGTTTTAAAATGAGTTTTGAAACTAGTGACATATAAATTAAATGTTGAAGTACTTGCCCACTTATTACTGAAAATATCAGCTCAACTGTTGTTTTTTTTTTCCTTTTTATAATAAGACAGCAACACAAGGCTGGGATTAGCCTGTCAGATGTGAGGCCTGTCAGATGTGACTGCAGCACCTTCCATTTAGTTCTGCTCCATGGTCCTGCATTTTCTTTAGGGATGGCCCCATCATCCACACATTTCTGCAAGCCAGAGGCCTACAGGTCTTCCTCCACACCCCTTCCTCCTCTCCGCCATATCCACCCTTAATATCTCCTGGATCCATTTACTTCTCCTGCCCTCTGCCATTATCTGCTGTAGGCCATGATCACCCAGCTCTTTGGTGACTACACTGGCCTACTAATTATCTCCCTGTACCCACTTTGACCTCCTCTCTGTTCCTTCCATACCCTGCAGCCATATTTTCATAACTTAAATCTTATATCAACCCTTTGCTTAGGACTCCCAGTGGCTTTGCGTTAGCTAGGGTAAAGTCCAAAATCTCTGTTATTATTATACTTTAAGTTCTGGGATACATGGGCAGAACATGCAGGTTTGTTACATAGGTATACACCTGCCATGGTGGTTTGCTGCACCCATCAACCCGTGATCTACATTAGGTATTTCTCCTAATGCTATCCCTCCTGTAGCCCCCCATCCCCAAAAGGCCCCAGTGTGTGATGTTCCCCTCCCTGTGTCCATGTGTTCTCATTGTTCAACTCCCACTTATGAGTGAGAACGTGCGGTGTTTGGTTTTCTGTTCCTGTGTTAGTTTGCTGAGAATGATGGTTTCCAGCTTCATCCATGTCCCTGCAAAGGACATGAACTCATCCTTTTTTATGGCTGCATAGTATTCCATGGTGTGTATATGCCACATCTTCTTTATCCAGTCTATCATTGATGGGCGTTTGGGTTGGTTTCAAGTCCTTGCTATTGTGAATAGTGCTGCAATAAACATGTGTGCATGTGAAAGACCAAAATCTTTAACATCACTCTTAAGGTCCCACATGGATTGATTCCCACACACATCACCACTCTTATCTCTTCCTTTGGTCTCCTTGTTCTCTGAGCCCTAGCTTCTGTACCTTTTCTTTTCTTTTAAAGGCTTTTTTTTTAAAGCAATTTTAGATTCACAGAAAAATTGAGAAGAAGATACAGAGATCTCCCATACACCCCTTGCTTACACACATGAACAGCATCCCCCATTATCGACATCCCCCACCAGAGTGGTACAATCAATGAACCTACTTCAATACTTTCTTATCGCCCAACGTCCACAGTGTACATTAGGGTTCACTCTTGATGTACATTCTGTGGGTTTGGACAAATGCATAATGACAGGCATTCACCATTACCATATTACATAGAATAGCTTCACGGCCCTAAAAGTCCCCTGTGCTCCCCTATTTATCCCTGCCCAACCACCGATCTTTTTATTGTCTCCATAGTTTTGCCTTTTCCAGAATGTCATGTAGTTGAAATCAAGCAGTATGTAGTTTGTTCAGATTGGCTTCTTTCATTCAACATGCATTTAAAGACCCTCCAGGTCTTTTCATGCCTTGATAGCTTATTTCTTTTTAACAATGAATAATATTCTACTGTCTGGATGTACCATGGTTTATTTATCCATTCACCTACTGAAGGACATCTTGGTGGCTTCCAAGTTTTGGCAATTACAAATAAAGTTGCTGTAAATATCCGTATGTGGGTTTTTGTGTAGACATAAGTTTTCAACTCCTTTGGGTGAAGACCAAGGGGCTCTGCTTTTTTTTGTGTCTTCATACACATGATGTAGTTCTCTCCTCTTGGACTGCTCCCTACTCCCCACTGCCCTTGTCTAGGCCTTCTGAATTCAGCTCTGATGTCACTTCTTCAAGGATGTCTGCCTCGCCCCTTCAGATCTTCTTGTCGTTGCATGTCCTCTAACCCTCGGTGCTTTTCCACAGCACCCATCCGCTTGTTTGACTATTTGACTAATATCCATTTCACCACTAGTATGTATGCTCCATGCCAGCATGCTGTTGAGTTCCCACCATCTGGCACATAGAAAGCATTCAGCAAATATTTGTTAAGTGAATGAATGATGACGAAGATAATACTTATTCTTTCTCCCCATTATGGGCTCTTAAAGGAGCTCACATGTAAGACAGATGTTTAAACAGACAACATGCTGGGGCCGAGATGGGCCATGACAAGGCTGTGTACCAGGTGCAGAGGGGCCCAAAGTTGAGGCACTTAAACAGTTCTTGGCTCTGTTTCCATAGAGCGCACCGTGGTGTCAGGGAAGAGTGGACACCCACAATTGCTTGTTGGTATTCACAAGTACCCGACCAGTGCAACATAGGTCTGCTTTCCTCATCGTGTGTAGCTCTGTGTCTGTACACATTTTGTGTGAGCAGGTGAGAGCGATGTTATGGCTGTAAGACAGAAAGACTACTGAATTAGAGCCTGAAAACCAGAATGTAAGTCCCAGGATAGTCCTTGTGAGCTTTGTGACATTGAGCAAGTCACTTAATCTCTCCAAACCTCAGTTTCTTTGTGGATGCAATAGGAATAAATATACCCACTCATGGTGTGGTTGGAGAGCAGAGAAATGAAGCATGAAAATGCTCAGGCAGTACCTGGCATACTACATGCATCCACTAAATACGAGGACTCAGTTTCTCCATGAGCTAAAGGTCAGCACTGTATGCAGATTCTTCTCCCTTCTGATTACATAAAAAGAGGTGTGTTTGTGTGTGTGGGTGTGCATATGTGTGTGTGTGTGTGTGTGTGTGCTGAAAACCTCAGGGAAGTCCTTTTAGGCACATAAAGAAGAGGCTGTGCTAACAGCCATTAGGGACAGAGGTTGGTTATAATATCCTGCTGGATTTTGAATTGATATCCAGAAAGAGAAGTTAGAAATTTCTGTTTTAGAGCTCAGGTAGAAAAAGGAAGACAGTTAAGGTAAACTTATTCTACCTAGGAATCATGGAGGTTACATTTCTTTAAATCTCGCTCTAACTTAATCTGTTTTTCAACCAACATTTACTGTGCATTTATTTATGTGTTATGTTTATACCAATGCTCATTTTCTTTCAGCCATTTATTTTAAAAGTTTCTTTTTATGGGTAAAGAAGACTAACTGCTTAGAGAAAGGATCCCGTTGTCTGTATAGCTGTGCTCCACAACTCTGGCTGTGCTTTAGAAATAGCTAAGGGCTAGGTGCGATGGCTCATGCCTGTAATCTCAGCACTTTGGGAGGCCGAGGTGTGAGGATCACTTGAGGCCAGGGGTTTGAGGCCAGCCTAGGTAACATAGAGAGACTTCATCTCTAAAAAAGTAAAAATAATAACTTAGCTGGGCTTGGGCATATGCCTGTAATCCTAGCTACTCAGGAGGCTGAGGCAGTGGGATTGCTTGAGCCCAGGAGTTCGAGGCTGCAGTGGGCTATGATTGTGCCACTGCACTCCAGCCTGGGTAACAGAGCAAGTCCCTGACTCTAAAAATGATTAGTTAAAAAAGTAGCTGAGGAGTGTAGCCAAAACACATGGCTGAGGCCACCCACACCAATGAGGTCAGTATCTCTGGAGATGGGGCCTGGCACTGGTGTGTTTCACTGCTTCCCTGGCGATTTAAATGTGCAGCCAAGGTTGAGAACCACTGCTCCTGGGCATGGGGATTGACTGCAGAGCCTGGTTGTTCAGACCTCAGAGCCCCTCTGGTGGCCACCTGGTAAGGCCACCTGGTGCCAGCTCTTCTCACCTGTAGTGCCTTGGAAAAGACCCATTGCCTCCAAATGCGAAGCTGGAAAATGACAGTGAGAGTGACGCTCCACTGGGGGGAAAGGCTTTAGCCTACTTGAGGAAGACTTATCAGAAATGGGCTCTAGCCTCACTTTGAAGGAGAGTGGGGAAGAGGCGGGTGTGGGAGAAGGCAGAGCTTTTTCTAGAGCATGAGGAGGCTGGGAGCTGGAGAAAAGCAGCTGCTCAGAGAGGTGAGAGAGGACAGACCTAAAACCACTGATCCAGGTGTCAGTCTCAAATCTGCTGCTTGTTGGCTTGAGCAAGTCAGTAAACTCTCAGGGACTCAGGGTCCTCATCTGTAAAATGAGGTTAACTTCTGCTGACAAGCACCCTGCAACTGGGAGGTTGTTGACTACTTTAATACCGTAAATGGATGAGCCATAGGAAGGGAGTTCAAGTTGGACCTGAGAGTGCAGAATGGGGCTGGGAGGGAAGGTCCATGGCTTCTGTATTCCTAGGTCTTGAGACTGGAATTCAATGGAATTAACCAGACTAAACTAAAAAGTGGTTATCATCTCAGGAACAGTGCCAGGCCCTTGAGAACAAAGATAATACACATAATGTAACTATGATACATATGATAATAAACTGTTTGACCATATTTTATTATGGAAACTTACAAACATATAGTAGACAGAATACCCCATGTACCTATCACCCAGCTTCAACAATTGTCCACTCATGGCCAGTCTTGTTCTATGACTATCCCAATTCATTTCCTCTTCTCCCTTATTATTTTGAATCTAATCTCACATGTTATATGATTTTGTTTGTATGTCTGAAAGATAAGTACTCTTATAAACCATGATCACACCTTTTAAAAAATCAACATTAATTCTTTAATATAAAAAAATCCAGTCAGGGTTCAAATTTCCAATTGTCTAATAAATGTCATAAGTGTTTGAGTTTGTTTTTGAATCAGGCCCACACATTGTGATTGGTTGACATATCTCTTAAACATCTTTAAAAAAATTGTTATAGACCAGGAGCGGTGGCTCACACCTATAATTCCAGCACTTTGGGAGGCTGAGGTGGGAGGATCACTTGAGGCCAGGAGTTTGAAACCAGCCTGGAAAACATAGCGAGACCCATCTCTAATTTTTTTTTAAATTAGCCAAGGTTGATGGTGTGTGTTTGTAATTCTAGCTACTCTGGAGGCTGGGACAGGAGGATTGCTTGAGTTCGAGAGTTTGAGGTTACAGTGAGCTATGATTATGCCACTGCACTCTAGCCTTGGCAACAGAGTGAGATTCTGTCTCTATTTTCTTTAACTTATTATCTTGATAAGCTGGGCACAGTGGCTCACGCCTGTAATCCCAGCACTTTGGGAGGCTGAGGTCAGGAGTTCAAGACCAGCCTGGCCAACATGGTGAAACCCTGTCTCTACTAAAAATAAAAAAATTAGCTGGGCGTGGTGGTGCATGCCTGTAATCCCAGCTACTCAAGAGGCTGAGACAGGAGAATCACTTGAACCCAGGAGACAGAGGTTGCAGTAAGCTGAGACTGCACCACTGCACTCCAGCCTGGGTGACAGAGTAACACTGTCTCAAAAAAAAAAAAAAAAAAAAAAAACCAGTGTGTGTATGTGTGTGTGTGGGTGTGTGTGTATAATCTTGATAAAATATACATAACATAAAATTTACAATTTTAACCATTTTAAGTGTACAGTTCAGTGGCATTAGGTATATTCACATTGTGGCCAACCATCACCACCATCACCATCACTACTCAATAATCTTTTCCATCATCTCAAACGGAAACTCTGTACTCATTAAACAACTCCCCATTCCTCTCTCTTCCTGGCTCCTGGAAACCACCATTCTACTTCCTGTCCCTACGAATTTGAATGCTTTAGGAACCTCATGTAAGTGGAATAATATAGTTGACTGGCTTTTTAAACACAGTATCTTCAAAACTCATCCATGTTGTAGCATGCATTGGAATTTCATTCCTTTTTAAGGCTTAATAATCTGCTATTGTATTTATACACCACAATCTATTTCTCTGCTCATCTGTCAATGTGTACGTAGGTTGCCTCCCCCTCTTGGCTTTTGTGGATAATGTTGCTGTGAACATGGTGTACAAATCTCCCTTAAGCATCTTTTAGTATAAAGATTTTCCTTTCATTTCCCTCCTCCTTTTCTTTTTTTTCCGTTGGAATTTATTTGTTGATGAAACTGGGTCATTTGTCCTGTAGTGTCCCACTATCTGGGGTTTTGCTGATGACCTCATTAGCTTTGGGGCTGGCAAAGGTATTTTGAAATTTGTCAATTATATTGTACTTATTGTGTGCCAGGCACAATTCTAAGTACTTAAAAAATGTAAATGGAGTTAACCCTATGAGATGAGTACTATTCTTTCAACTTCTGTTTTAAAGACAGGGAAACTGAGGTTGAGCAGAGGTTAAACAACTCATCCTCCGTCACCCAGCTAGCAAGTGCCAGGGCCAGGATTCAATCCCAGGCAGCCTGGCTCAATTATTCCACACTGCTGCTCAGGCTAGGGCATTATTCAGTGACAAGGAGGTGATGATTTTGATTCCTGGGGAAACAGGACTGAAACACATGAAAAATTTTTTAAAAATAATGGAGATAGAAATTCTAGTTAAAAGAGGAAATATTACAAGACCACACCTGATAAGTTTCCAAATGAGTAACATATCTTGTGAATGTCAGGGAACAGTAATGGAAGGAGAGACCTCTTTATAGCTCTCACTGAAGTCAGTGTAAATCCAGACACATGAATTACTTCAGGATATTTTATTAACATAGCTGTACATGCTTATTGTTGGAGAAAATATCCAAAATAGATGGTCATGTCATTGAGTGGAAATAAAGCAAGGTAAATGGCCACCTCTCTCTTCCCAATAGTCCCTGGATGCCACCTTTCCAAGAGCTTCATTTGTTTTTTGTAAAGTTTGTACATATTTTTGAAACAACACTATTTTGGAAAATGGAGAAGAAAATCATTAATCCTACCATTCATTATACCTATTTTTCTCAACCTGTTTTTCCTGTAGGCATGAACACAGGCATATTTTGTATTGTTGCGGCACTTTCAAATGGAGAGTCTTATTTCTAAGTGACTGAACCTTAGTCCCCGGGCTTGTGAATTGAGGAGGAACGCATTCTTCTTATTTTGCTGCTGTTTGTATCCCACCGCTGCAGTCAATTTTGGGTAAAAGGAAAATGAAGACATTGTTGAGTGTTCTTTTGTAGCCATGGGATCCCTGGGAAGGACTAAATTAAGCTGGAGGCAGTGGGTGTGGTGGAGAAGGCATTCTCCTCCTTCCCTGTCACTCACTAACTCTTTGGGGCCGTAAGGGGCGAAACTGGGTGACCACTCAGTCTTTCCAGCTTTGAAATTCCAGGATGCTTCAATCCTAATAAAATCAGTATTTTTTAACAAAGAAGAAAACTACATTTGCCTCTGAGCTGTAAAGGAGGCTCTAAGGTTATCTTTCTGAAAAAAGAATACATCTTTTGCAGGAGAAAAATTGGTCAAATTGAGTCTTCCTGACTGGTGAGTTAAATCAGTTAGATTTAAATCAAATTCACCCAGCTCTGCCCTTTCATCACTGAGAGATGAATCAGGAGAAATCTGCCTTTGAAACTGACCTGGATTTGGAGACATCCATCACTTTTTAATGGACCTTTAGGTTGCGGACTTTCCTTTGGGCTCTGTGTTTTCTGTTGATGCCTGTGAATGAAGAAAAATGATAGCCAGCATGACCCATTTAAAAAGAATCATATTTAGGAAAATGGAAAGTAACTCAGATGCCTAGAAATTGGGGAATTATCACCAGGTATTAGTTCAGTGAGGTCATCCCAAAGGTAGAATATCAATACTGGAAGAAACTTAATAGTATTCTAGTCCAGCTGGTCTGTGGCTGGACACCAGACTGAGTCCTCTGGGGAAGGGGTCTTGCTAAACATCCAGATTTCCAGGCCCCATTCTCGAAAGGTTCATTCTGTGGGTTGGGGTTGGGGTAAGGCCTGGAATGTCGGTATTTAAAAGCTATTCAATTGATTATGATGCTAACTAAGCTAGGTTTGGTAACCCCTGATCTAGTCCAGACCCATCATGTGACAGAAGAAGAAACTGAGACTTGGAGAGGGAGAAGTGGGAGGAGTGACCTGTGGCAGAGCAGGGCCTGGAGAGGCGCTGTCAAGTACTTGCCACTGTCATACCTCCCTTAAAGCGGCAAATTTGAAGGTGATGTCAAAACGTGGAGATGCATCTTTAAATGCCGTTGGGTGGTAGAAGTATATCCTGTATGGGCCAGGTGCGGTGGCTCATGCCTGTAATCCCAGCACTTTGGGAGGCTGAGGTGGGTGGATCACCTGAGGTCAGGGGTTCGAGACCAGCCTGGCCAACATGGTGAAACCCCATCTCTACTAAAAAATACAAAAATTAGCTGGGCGTGGTGGCAGCTGCCTGTAATCCCAGCTACTCAGGAGGCTGAGGTGGGAGAATGGCTTGAACCCAGGAGGCAGAGGTTGCAGTGAGCCGAGATCGCGCCACTGTACTCCAGCCTGGGTGACAGAGTAAGACTCTATCTATCTATCTATCTATCTATCTATCTATCTATCTATACACACACACACACACACACACACACACACACACACCCTGTATGATTAATGATAGAAAGGGGAAGGGGACTTAATGAAGAGTCCACTTCTCAGGGGCCATGACTGTTGGCAGGTTTCTTTCCTTTTGCTGTCAATTTATTTGGAGAAAAAAAAAAAAACCAAACACTTAACAAATAATGACCATTTCAATCGACAGTGTATGGATGGTATTCATTCTTATATATGAGAATTGTACTTGAATAACTGGCATCTTTTCAGTGACTAACCTTCGTATCAGAGCCAGCGCTCGAGGTAATGAGGTCAAATATTTTAACATCACTTGAGTAGCAACTTTTACATTTATTTAACTTATGAACAAAAGATGGGATCAGAGAGCTTATTACCCTCTTGCATTTCTTCTCAATGTAATTAACCTAATTCTTCCTCCTGTTGGTGGAGCAAGGAAGGGAAAGTAGGTGGCCTATTCATAAAACTGGTACATCCAGCACTCAGTATCCAGGGGGATAGGGCACAACCCGTCGGGTGCCAGGCTCGGGGCCAGGTTTGGGTTTCATGCAGTCTCCTCCGCCCCTGTTATTCACAGATAAAGAAGCGGAGAGTCAGAGCCTTATGGAACTTGCCAGAATCCCAGAGCTAGTGTGAGGTAGAGCTGAGATCAAACTTGAGGCCATCTGTTTCCAAAGCCCTCTACATCTTCTCCGGCAGCCACCTGCGCATTTCCTGGGCTGGGCTTTCTCTGGAGGAGAATGTGGAGCAGAGGAAGTGTCGGAGAAAGAATAGAGCTGTGTGAAAGGGTGCAGGTCTGGCATGATCAGGTAAATGCAAAATTGCTGAATCGCAGGGTCAGATGCTAGATCTGACAATGTACGAATGGGCCTGTCATTCCCAGTGATGGGCAACTCAGTCCTTCAAAGGAGGCCTCTTCCTAGAGGTGAGCTCTATAGCACAGGGACTGTGCCTAGTCCTCTAGCATCTCCAGAAGTCCAGCACTTCACCTGTGTTTGTTCAATTTATTTAGAAGCGTACCCTAATTCAGAAAGGGTATTTATTTTTTCTTATATTGCAAACAGATATCCTCCCTGCCTCTTCTCATTGTGCCTGGTACTGCCCTCTGAGACAGATCATGGGGGACCCCTGGATAGGAAGTCAAAAGAGACCTAGGTTCTAGTCCTTGAAGATGTCACACAACCATTCTGAGCCTCGCTTTCTCTGTAAGTAAAACCACATTGCTGGCATTGCTCATCACTGAAGGCCTACTTTTGATGCCCTGTGGGGACAAGATAGGTGTGGGAGGACCCTCTGGGAGATAGCTCCCAGAGAACTCTGCTAGCCTTGGGACTTTGTGCCAGCCCAGTGCTGGACAACCCATTGTAAGCCATCCTGCAATACCAGAGAGATAGTCTGTTGTAACATATGAGGAAGGGCCTCTGAACAATGTCACCCAAGACCAACTGAACGAAGACTTCCTATGATGTTCTTTCAGATGATAGCTTTAGGGCTTTTGAAGATGCGTTGGAGTCCCCAAGACCACCTCTAGGCTCGATAATTTGCTAGAGGGACTCAGAGTACAATAAACATCCAGTTGTACTCACAGCTATGATTTATTACAGCAAAAGGATACAAAGCAGAATCCGCAAAGGGAATAGGCTGGTGGGGAGAAGTCCAGAGGAAACCAGGTGCGAGCTTCCAGGAGTCCTCTCCCGGTGGAGTCACATAGGACACACTCAACTCCCCCAGCAACCAATGGTAACAGCACTGTGAAGTGTTTCTACCAGGAAAGCTCATTAGAGTCTCAGTGTGCAAGGTTTTTATTGGGCACTGGGCATGTAGGCACCCTCTGCTTAACACATACCAAAATTCCACACTCCCAGAAGGAAAGCAGGTGTTTAGTAGGAACCATATTGTCTGCACAAACAATTTAGGCCCAGTGAGCCATTCTTATCAGAGGGGAGTGGGAACTCTCTTGAAGTCCAAGTCCCCAGATACCAGCCCAAGGCCAACCTCTCCAGCAGATCTTTCTAGGGACACAGTCTCAGACCCGCTGTGTTAACCCTTTTCCGCCCAGAGAAAGTATTACAGTGCTCATCAACAGGGATCCCGGAGCCAGACTGCCTGGATTTACATCCTGGCCTGCTGTTTGCTAGGTAATTGTGGGCAAGTTATTTACACTTTGTGTGCTTCCATTTCTTCATCTACAAAATGAAAATAATAATGGTACTTACCTCATAGAACTTGTGTGAGGATTAAATGAGTTAGTCTATGTAAAGCACTTAGTGCCTAGCCCATAGGAAGCACCAAGCAATACTTACTAGCTTAGCTGCTGCTGTTATTATTATTATTGCTTTTGTTATTGAAGGTTCAATAGTGCTCAATATACATGCTTGGCTGCAGTAGGGGAAGTTCCCAAAGGAACTGTACTCCTGTTAATTAGAAGTATCCTGCCCACACTGTCCCTGGTCCCAGGCAGGGCTGGAGAATGGGGCTTTCGCATACACAGGGACATTCAGAACCTTAGGGGTGGGGTGGGGACTCAGTTGCTGATAGTTTTCTGAGCACTGGTGAATTCACCCTGGAGAAAATCCTGATGAGAGTGGTTGATGGAGAGAGGAAAGGCTGAAGGTGCAGGGTAGCCCTCCAACTTCAACACTCTGATGATAGTAACAGAGTGAACTAGACACCCTTCTTCTAGCTTCTTTCCCATGCAATGGGAAGAGCATCAGCCCAGCTTCTAGTTCCAGAGATGCCACCAGCTTGCTAAGTAACCTCAGACCAGCCCTGCCACTCCCCAAGGCTGGACGCTATGCTTTTAGTCTCCCAGCTCTGACAAATTGTGCTTCTAGGTGCAAAGTAGATTCACTACATGCTGGTTACCACTGCAGCCCATTGCACCTTGGGCTGCACTTTGCCTGCTTGCCTGAGTCTGGTGAGGCAGAACACTCACATACAAATTACATGAAGTGGTTTATTCCCTACAGGTAGGCAACAAGGGTCGACAGAAGCCTAGGATTCATGGCAAGCCAGTCTCTCAAGGCTCAGGAAAGCTGTCCAGAATGAATGGAGTCTTGTCAGCGTGTGCCTCACTTGGTCCGAAGCTGAGGGACCCCAGAAAACAGCCCGCCCTGGGTTTTATACCTTGGGGTAACATATATTGCTGGGCTAAAGTGCTGAAGGATATCCTCTTTGTAGCAGGGACAGGAGCAGGACCTAGTTGTTCTGGCCAGTCCAACCTTATATCAGAATGTTACATTCCCAGTATCTTCTTTTGTTTTTTATTTTTTCATTTTTGAGATAGTGTCTTGCTCTGTCACCCAGGTTGGAGTGCAGTGGCATGATCTTGGCTTACTGCAGCCTCTGTCTCCAAGGTTCAAGCAATTTTCCTGCCTCAGCCTCCTGAGTAGCTGTGGCTGCCACTATGCCCAGCTAATTTTTGTGTTTTTAGTAGAGATGGGGTTTCGCTATGTTGGCCAAGCTGGTCTCGAACTCTCAACCTCAGGTGATCCACCCACCTCAGCCTCCCGAAGTGCTGGGATTACAGGCATGAGCCACCACGCCCAGCCCATTCCCAGTATCTTCTGCAGTTATTCTTGAGAACTACAAGTGAGAAAGCCAGGAGAACCGGGTTGGCCCAAGGCCACCTGGAGAACTGTCCTGCACTAGAGGCCTCTCTGGGGCTGAATCTGGGTTAACATGCTGGCAAATTCCAAGGTCCCCATGTTAAACCCAGGGTTCCTTTTAGATTGACACAGGCAACCAAGATCTGTTTCAGTTCCCTGACTCCTTTCCCACTGTCTTATCCTTTCTGCTCTTTGCTGCCCACAATGTGTGTAATTATCCACCACATCTGCTTTGGAGGTCATGATTATGACTGGTCAGTGATCATGTGTCTATGTTTGCCAGTGGTCAGGGCTGCAAGTGTGTTTGGGTGGCGTCTGCACCACAACTATCTGTGTAGACACCATCTTTCCCTGCTGTGTGTTGGGCAATGTGAAGATCCGGATGGGTCATCGCTCCGCTTTCCAGGTGACAGTGCAGTGAGGGAGAGACAACAGGTGGCACTGGATGGTATTCTGGGTTGTAAGTGACAGAAACTCAGTTCTAGCTAATTTCAGGAGGGAAACAGAATTGATTGGCTCAGAACTGAATCATTCAGAAACTTTGGGGAAGGCTAGCCCCCGGAGGCTTAGGCAGTGTCACCAGGACTTGGCTCCCTTGTCCCTTCCCTTCCTGGGTGTTGGCTCTGTTCTCTTGAAGCTTTTCTCCTCTTGGTGGCAACATGGCAGTTAGCAGTTTTCAGCAATGCCAGCAAAGAAATGATTCTTTTTCCTAACAGAGTAAACAAATATCCTCAGATTGAGCTTCATTGGGCCTACTGGGGGCTGTGCCCATCTCTGCCCTAGTCCCTGTGGCCACAGGGATACAGTTGGCTCACATGGATTAAGGGTGGAAGAAGGGCAGTTCCCCAAGGAAAATATGGGTTTCTTTCCAGGAAGAAGAAGGTATGAATATTGAGCTAATTCCGTCCCTCTGCGCAAGGAGCTCGTGGTCTTATCTGGCAAAGCAGACACAGAAACAGACATAGAAAGAAAAGAACGGGCTCCAACTAAAATAAAGGCAGAATAGGCTCTCTTCTCTCTTAAAATCTTTCTATCAGTGAATTTCAGGAACAAAGACAGTGGAAAGAATGTCCACTATGCAACTGGAACCATGACACCTCTGTGTGCCTGTGTGGGCACGTGAGTATTGAGCATGGCAGAGCAGAAAAGCAGATTCCATGGAGGAAATGACTTTTGTCTAGAACCTGTGTAGCCACCCCTGTCGCTGCCCCATCCATCGCTCTTGGGCACTCTCTATGCCGTTGCATGCTGCCCTGGCAATTTCCCTCTGCTAGGATCTCACAGCAGTGGCTGGCAGGGTTGGTGGGTGAATATCTCAGCTCCCTCTCCCCTCCGAGTGCCCAGTGGGAACTGCAGTTGCCCATGGCAGGGTCCTGCTCAACAGTGCCCCCTGGATTGGTTCCAGTCCCTTTTGCTTCACTTTTCCACTTCATTACCCATGCCTTTTGGGATCACTTCCCAAATACACATCTTTATCTCAGAGTCTGCTTCTGGGAGAGATCAGCTAAGACAGCCTGGAAGAATGCTTATGATGTGGATAGATGGAGGTGGCAGGTAGAGAGAGGCGAGGGAGACAGTGCAGGAGGAGGGACTCGTGTGGGAAACTATGGTGATGAAACAGTGCACAGAGAACAGAGCAGAGGAGCAGTGAATTCAGCATGGCCTGAGAAGCGCTTTTCAAATCTTTCTGACAGATCCACAGTAAGATGTGCATTTCATAATGTGTTACAGTGCATTCACACCTACACACACACGCGCACGCCTAAAACAGAATTTTCACAAAATGAAAACTTCCTATGTATGATGCACACCTATTCTGTTCCATTAAAAATTCCTGCTCAAGATGTGCTAAAATAATATGATGTCTCACTCATAGGGTGGGATCTGCAGTTTGAAAACACTGGGCTAGAGGGAATGGTGTAGGAAACAGAGTGGTGGGAGATGAGAAAGAAAGCTAGGTTAGACCAGACCTCAGAGGAGCTTGATGGTCAAGTTGAAACATTTGCACTTGACTCCATTGCAGGCTTTTGAGGAAGGACATGATAAATTCCTAGCTGAGATGCAAGAAGATTCTTAGGACGGCATGGGGAATGGGCTGGAAGAGGCATAGAGACTGCTGAGGAGTCTGTTGCCAATGTCCAGCTGAGAAGCTGTGGGGTCTGTGTTAGTGCTAGGGCAGGGGCTGGAGGGACAGGAGCAGATGCTGGAGGCAGTGGGCCTCAGTGGCTAATTGGACGAGGAGACTGAGGAAGGAGAGGAGGAAGCGTGGGGTTCCCAGCTGGCTCTCTGGGAGGAGGGGGAGGCCGTTACCTTCCTTGGTTGTTGATGAACTATTTATCAGGGCATGAAACTTTCATTAATATTATTCTGGTCTGAGAGTCTGGAAATGTCATAAAGGACTTGTTGAGTGGTCAAGCAGCTTGTACTTAATGCGCCCTGGAAGCAGAACTGTTCCCAGGGCTGCCGTAAGCGGGAAGTAGCCGTGCTGGAGGAGCCTTGCTTTTTGATGGATTTCATTCTTACCACTCCTCGAATCGCCCCTGTTCTCTCCTCGAGTGAGGCCGTTGGGGTCCCCCTAGCCCATCGACCTACTTACTGCACAATTAACATGGAGCCAGGCTCAGGGACTGTGGGGGTGGTGCTGCCTTCTCTCCTTTTATTCTAAAACACTTACCTGGCCAGGGCCCTGCTGGATGCCAGAGATGCTATTAATAATTTGGTTCCTCCTCTTAAGGAGCTCACGGTCTTGTTTGGGGGAAGCAGACACAGAAACCAACATAGAAACATGAAAAGGACCTCTACCTAAAATTAAGGCAGAATGGATTCTCTACTCAAAACCTGTGCAATCAATAAATTTCGGGAGCAAAGACAGAGGAAGGAAGAGGAACTCACTTTATGAGCAGCACTGTGTGCCACATGCATGCCCGTTGCTTTATGTACCTTGGATAACTTAGGTCCTAAAATAACTGAATCAGTGATTTATGGGTTCGTGGACTTCCCTCTTACCCCATGAGAATGCTGTGACAGGTATCTGAAGGAGGGGACTTTAAAACACAGATTTTTGGCTGGACGTGTGGTGGCTCACGCCTGTAATCCGAGCACTTTGGGAGGCCGAGGTGGGCGGATCACCTGAGGTCAGGAGTTCGAGACCAGCCTGACCAACATGGTGAAACCCTGTCTCTACTAAAAAAAAAAAAAAAAAATAGCTGGGCATGGTGGTGTGTGCCTGTAATCCCAGCTACTAGGGATGCTGAGGCAGGAGAATTACTTGAACCCAGGAGGCAGAGGTTGTAGTGAGCCGAGATCGTGCCACTGCACTCCAGCCTGGGCAACAGAGCAAGACTTCGTCTCAAAAAGAAAAAAAAAAAAAAAACCAAACCACAGATTTTTGTGTTCTACCTCAGACCTCTGGAATCAGACTCTGTAAGTGCCTCAATAGGGGTGGAGGGGAGAAGGAAGCCCAGGTATGTGCATTTCAGTAAGGCCTCCAGGCTTTTCTTACGTGTGCTAAGGGTTGAGAATCACTGAGGAGGCAGATCTTACTATCTCCATTTTGCAAACGGGGAAACTGAGGCTCCAGAAATTTCAGAAACTCAGCCATATTCAGTCTGTTAATATCTTACTCCACATTCCATGCATCAGACCTACTGATCAGCTCGTGTGTCCCTCAGGCACACTGCCCTGTCTCAGAATCTCTGAGTCTCCGCAGTGTGATTCTTCTCACCTTGCAGAGCCTGACTACTGCCCACACTGCTCAGAAGGAACCTCCTCCATGAAGTCCTCCAAGATGCCTTACCCTCCTCCTCCTCTCCAGGGGGTTAGAATTCTCCCTGCTCTGGGCCCGCAAAACACAGCTTACCCAAAGCCTAGAATGATCCTTTTCTGTCTGTGGCACCTCTTTTCCCCCAGAGGGCATCTCGTACACTCCATGTACATCCATGTATGGTACCTGGTAGGACTGTTCTGTCTGTGGTCCCTCAGCATCACGGAGGGTGGTTTCTGGCCAGCAGGACCTGGGGCATCAGAGTGGTTTCATGGAGGAAGGGGTATTTGCACTATGCCTTGCCAGATGAGGGTAATCTGCCCCTGTATGCCACCAGCAGGTTTACTGTGTCTTTGGCAGTTAGCAGCTGAGTGTAGAGAGCAGAGTGAGATTCATAATGTCCATGACTAATGGAGTTTATGAGTCTATCCCCGGGATATGTAAGGTTAGGGGATTGAATTCAGTTCAACATGTGTTACTGGTGCACCTACTGTGTGCTATAGGTACAGCAGATCCAAAAGTGAATAAGACCCTGCCCCTGCCCTTATCAAGGGGACTTTCAGCTGTTTTGAGAAAATTACTATCAGATTGTTTATATATATATATATATATATATATGGTTGTATTTTCAAAGGCTCAAAACTTTAAAAACTATTCAAATAAAATGGAGGTCTTAAAAGTTGAACTTAGTGGAATTAAGCCAAGAATCCCTTTTAAATGCAAATAAGGCAATTGCCAGGGAAAGAGGTAAGAATGGAGTTTCAGAGACAGTTCAAGGTGATGGAAGACTACCTGTCCTGGTTGCCACTATGCTGTCTCTTTCTCTGGCTAGGAAGGAGGAATCGGAATGGTGGGAAATGCCTTGTTTTCTCCCAGGCCGGGCAGGGCAGGTCTCAGAATCAGCAGAGTGCCTCCCGAGATAAGGCTATTTTTAATGAGACCACCGGGACCCTTGGAGCTGGCAGCTGGCAGTGACAATGCAGACACTGCAAGTTGCAAGCCAGCAGCTGGATCTCTGGGAACAGGCTTCTGGGTCAGGGAAGGGGATAGTAGGAGGTGCTTTCTAAAGCAGAGTGTGGAAAACCAGAATTTTCTTGAACCATTGTAAGTGGGTCTTGTATTTGAATTTTTTTTTTTTTTGTCTATGCGTGTGTGAGAACAATGGTTGATGATTAGATATGAGGCTACAATTTATGCCAGGTTAATTAAGTTGTATTTGTAAGAAAAGTGTGTCGCTGCAAGGTGTGCTGTTTTTCCTCTCCCAGGGGTGGTGGGGGAGGCCCTGGGTCCCTAAAGTCCATTTCCAGGGCAATGACAGTCTTCTGGCAGCTGCTATCTTCATTAGTGTGATGGTGCAGGTCAACCCAAACATGCAAGGTGGTGACAGATGGTAGCACACACAATGGATAATCTGGGTGACTGTGGCCTGTTTGTGTCATGATTGCTGGCCCATCTAGGAGCAAGAGGCCTTGCCAGGTGAGGACACTGCTTTGAGACATTATAGGTGCAGGGCTCCCAGCATCTCCTTCAATGTGCTCTGGATGGAGTGACCCACTCACCTTAGCCACTCATGGGCCTTCACAGACTCTTCTGGAAGGAGGAAAGGAGGGCCAGGGTGAGGGGTATGGAGAAACCAGCACTGGAGGTGTTCCTGGACCAAACTAAGTATCGGGCTGCTATTTCTTGTGGCCCAATAATGAGATGCAGATGAACTGGGGAGGAAGAGAGTTTTTATTTCTGTAACTGGTTATAGGGAAAAGGCCTGGAAAATATCACCAGACCAACTCAAAATTACAAAGTCTTCCAGAGCTTATATACCTCCTAACTACATGTCTATGTGTAAGTGTGCATTCATCTAAAGACAGAAGTGATTAACTTTTTAATCTATAACTAAGATCTGAGTTCGGAAGACCTTCCTCTGGAGCCTCAGTAAATTTACTTAATCTAAATGGGTCCAGGTGCTGGGGTGATTACCTTTATCTTGTCTTTTGCTAAATCACAGGTTTGGGGCATTCCTTTAGACCCTCAATAAACTTGTTTGTGGAGGCCTGGGGAGTTTCTTCAGACTCTCAATAAAACTTGTTTAATCCTAAATGGGTCCTGTTAAGAATTCTTTCATTATCTTGTCATGCTATAAGTCTCAGGAAAGGCCTATGCAAAACTCTTGGTGGGTTTTTGTATCCAGCCTTTGTATAAAGGCACTGGCTCTTTCAACTTTTAATATTTATCTTAACCACTCGGTCAGTACTAAAACAGGGCCTGCATTAGTGAGAGCTGGCCTGCCACAGAGAGGCCCTGGGCACTGGGTTCCAGCCCCATCTCTGCTTCGCTTCTCTGTCCTCTTGGACAAGGTAGTTATTCTCTTTGGATCTTATTCTCCCCAGCTTTAACCTGATGGGTTTGACCTAGACTGTCTTCAAGCACGCTCACAACTCTGATGATTTGAGTCTGTGGTTTCAGACTTGGACCATAGGCATTTCTTAGGAATCCTAGGACAACCTTGGGGTAACTGTATTGTGATTATGTATTTTGTTCTGGGTCTTTCCTTCCAGATATTTTCATCTCTTTGTTCCCATTTTCTTACTGTTAATTTTAGCTCCTCATTTTCCTCCCCACCCTTTCTTCATAAAGGATTTTGGAGACAGAACTGGATTTGAATCCAGGCTCTACCACTCTGTCTGTATGACCCCGGGCAGGTTATTTAGTTTATCCATGCCTCAGTTTTCTCATATGTCAAAGGGGAATAAAAACACCTATCCTTAAGTTTTTGTTAAATGGAATACTACATGTACACTATCCAGTATATAGTATGTTACTATATCATCTGGCCTATAGTAAGTGCATTAGATTTCTCTTGCTGCTGTAACAAATGACCATAAATTTAGTGGCTTGAACAAACACAACTTTATTATCTGATAGTTCTGGAGGTCAGAAACCCAACATGGGGCTTGGTGGGCTAACATCCGGGTGTCAGCAGAGCTGCTTTCCTTCTGGAGGCTTTAGGGGACAATCTTTTTTCTTGCCTTTTCCAGCTTCTAGAAGCTGCCTACATTTCTTGGCTCATGGTCCCCTTGGATCTTCAAAGGCAATAATGGCTGGTCAAGTCTTTTTTACATGACATCACTGGGTACTCACCCTCCTGCCTCCCTGTTCCACTTTTAAGGATGCTTGTAATTACAGATCCACATGAATCATCCACTGTGAGCTCCCTACTTTAAGGTCAGCTGATTAGCAACCTTAATTTTATCTTCAATCTAATTCCCCATTGCCATCTAACCTCATGCAAGTTCTGGGAATTAGGATGTGGGCATTCTTGGGGGGCCATTATTCTGCCTACTACAGTAAGCATTCAATAAATAATTTTTATTAATGCCATTATTCTCTCCTTTCTCTTAGGAAACAGGAGGGCAGGAACACAAGAAAGGGCTTGGGGAGGGGGATGTTAAAGGTTCCCAAAGTAGCCAACTGTGTCTCCCTTTTCGCATGCAGCACGTGCAGTCAGTAGGTAAGTCCTGTGTGTAGACTTTCGTACCAGGCAGCCTGTCACAGAAGGATTAGATTTTACTTGGACTCACTGCAGAGGCTGGGAACCTGGAGCACTTGGGCACAGGAGGAAGTTTTCAGTTCGATATCAGATGAAAGTTTTTAAGGGTTGCAGCTCTTCAAAGTTGGGATGGGTTGCCCTTGAAAGGAAGGCCCTCCCTGTCCTTGGAAGTTTGTAAGAAGAGGCCGGGTGAGCTAACTGTTTCCAAACGTTCCTCCCCTCAAGAATTCCTTGGCTCTACTATAGACCCACCAAACCAGAGTCTTCCAAGGAGGGCCCGGGACTCTGCATTTATGGGCAATTCGGAGTGAGGTATTTGGAGACATTTTAGTGTGGGTTGGGAGATTGGCCCAAAGGAACATCTGCTTCTGAGATGCTTTGCTTCCCAAATTCTTGCTTCTGAAATCCATTTTTGCTTTTCAAAAACAAAATGCAGCACTTTGGGAGGCTGAGGTGGGCAGATTGCCTGAGCTCAGGAGTTCAAGACCAGCCTGGGCAACACAGTAAAACCCCATCTCTACTAAAATACAAAAAATTAGCCAGCTATGGCAGCATGCATCTGTAGTCCCAGCTACTTGGGAGGCTGAGGCGGGAGAATTGCTTGAACCCAGGAGGTGGGGGTTGCAGTGAGCTGAGATCACGCCACTGCACTCCAGCCTGGGTGACAGAGTGAGACTCCATCTCAAAAAAAAAAAAAAAAAAAAAAAAAAGAAAGGAAAGAAAAATAAAATGCAATGTCTGTGTCAATCCTGGTAGCCCCTTTGTGAAGAAATGACCTGTCTCCAAGGGCATGATTCAGTTTCATCTGAGACACTGGGGCTACACCCCAAGTGCGCTCACCCTGAAATGACCTGAGGGCCCCTCTCTGCAAAGTATAGGCAGACTCTGAGGCTCAGGGGGAGAGTGGCAGCCCCAGAAGCCACTGCTCTGCCTGCAGAGGTAATTTTTTGAAAATTCTTGGCCTTTCATTTTTGCCGGGTACTTTGATGGAGACTTGAAATTGGTTTTCTTTCCCCAGTGCATTTTTTTCATATGAACTTAAATTGCCAGTATTTCTGGCATGACCTAATATGTTGTTATGCCACCCACATCATTTTTCATAATGGAGAAGGTAAGAAGCCCAGGACTACTTCCCAGGTGAGATCTGCGACTCCTGTCTTGGAATCACCGTGGCCCCATGGTGATGCAGAAGTCCAGGCTCCACTTTGATGCATGGAGTCAGAACCGGGTGCATGGTGGGGTATGCAAGGGACACTGTGTGGCAAGGCTAGAGTCTGGTTGTGAAGCAGGCTCCACAGGTGACTTCTAATACAAACTCAAGTTTGAGAACCACCATCAATGCCCAGTCTCATGGGAAAACACAGCTAAAGAGAGGAATCCTGTACCCAGTCTAAGACCATGTTTGACTTCAACTTCTATTCTTATCTCTTTGATTTGCAAATACTCCAGCCACAGTGAACTTGTCCTCATTCCTTGAACATGGTCTAAAGATTCAGAAGTTCCTTCTGCCTGGTCTGTCTATTTTTTTCAGATTGTCACATCTGACTTAAAGACCCAACCTACAGACACCTCTTTCTAGAAGCCTGCCCTGATTCCACCTCAAGAGGCGGTCACACCTCTTGCCTCTGTGTGTGTCTTTCTTTTTGTTGAAGTTAGAGTATGACAGGTAAATGAGTCATGCTGAGAGTTCTAGGCAGTAGTTCTGGCTCTGTCTCCCTCATGGTTGTTGCGGGAGTAACTTCCTGACAATTACTCCATTCCTCTCTAGCCCTCTGAGTGTCCCCCACCCTCAACTCCCATCCTCCCCATGCCACCCCTATGGCCAGCCCACACTCTGGCACCTGGGAGTCACTCTCTAGAGGCCTGTGGAATGAAGGGACCACTCTTCCTGAACTTGGGTCTGGTGTGCCCACCCAACCTCAGTGGCTGTCCCCAAATGCCCTGTGGTTGCTAGAAGTTCTGGGTGTGCCAGTTTTGTGAATCCCTGGTGAAAATAGAGGCAGAGCAGTATGCTAATCAGGGAAAGATTGTCTTTATAGAGCTTTATACAGCTGATAAGATCATTTGCATATTCTGGTTCATTGTTGTATTTCGAGTAAGTTACATTATTCCTTAAAGGAACTGGGACTGAGTAGCCTGTAGGAAGATTTAGCAGGAGATGGGCTGTTGAAAGCAGGCCAGCTCTCAGAAAACAAAGCTAGGCTGGAAGCTAGGGATTACAGAGAGGCAGATATTTATGTCAGTATAAGGGAGGGGCTTTGTGGGAGTTGCCGGAAACAGAAGTGGCCTCACCTAAATGTAGTTAAGTTCTCCTGCACTGGAGGTGTGTGAGCAGGAGGCGTGACAGAGGGGGAGAGGCATGGGTCGCATGCGTTCCAGTTCCAAGGATCACTCGTTAGGTTGTTGCTTTCCTTCCTCCAACCCTTGATGTCTACACTTTTGATCGGGATAGTATAGTCTATCATTTCCCAGGGCTGCCATAAAAAACAACCAGAGACTGGGTGGCTTAAAACAATAGAAATTTATTAGCTCACAGTTCTGGAGGCTAGAAGTCCAAAATTAAGGTGTCAGCAGGGCCCTGCTTCCTCTGAAGACTAGGGCAGGATCCTCCTTGCCTCTTCCAGCTCTGGTGGCTCTGGTGTTCTTTGGCTTGTGGCACCATCACGCCCATCTCTGCCTCGGTCCTCAAGCGGCCTTCTTCATTTTGTGTCTCTGTGTCTTATTCTCTTCTTACAGGGTTATCAGTCATTGGATTTAGGGCCTGTTCTCAATCCAGGATTATTTCATCTCAAGATCCTTAACTGATTATATCAGCAAAGACCCTATTTCCAAATGAAGTCACATTCTGGGGTTCCAGGTGGACGTGAATTTCACGGGGACACTAGGCAATCCATTACAAATAGAATTTAAAAATTACACCCATGCAGCGGGCTCACATTTAGAAGTTCCACATTCTTTTTGGCTAGGCCTCCCTGCGTGTATAGACTGAAGTAGGGCCCAAAGTCGGGTGGGGAGGCAGTTGGGAGGTGAGCTGATGCTTATTGTCCTACCCTACACCTAATAGGCACTCCTATAGTCAGCGGCAGTCTCGTGCATGCTGTTGGGGTCCCAACTTAAGGCTCCACTGCACTTCCCTGGGTGTCTGCCTCTAGGCCACTCAGCCCCGTGTGACAGCTCTGAAAATTCACCTCTGTGCTCTCTCAGGAGTGGCCAGTGTAACTGACCACAGCTCAGTGGCTGTGCACTGAAGCCGGTTACCATGTTCATGCTGAGGCCATGCTTCTGGTAGACAGCTCCCAACCGGCACTGAGCTGAGTGGGGACACAAAGGCAGAACCACTCCTGAGAAACACAGGACTCCTCTGATGGATGCCTTTAACTTGGGGACTCTCCATCCACCTTGCTGAGCACCCCTAAAAAGGCACTGCAGACTAAGGCTCTTCCACGTCCCTCCCCGCCCTGGCTCCTGCAGTTGGGGTCCGACTTGCATTGTGGTCTGATGCTCTGTCTTCTGGTGATATTGAGGATGGGCCTTTTATCTGTTCTTATTCTTTTTTTTTTTTTTTTTTTGAGATGGAGTCTCGCGCTCTTGTTGCCCAGGCTGGAGTGCAATGGTGAGATCTCGGCTCACTGTAACCTCCACCTCCGGGTTCAAGCGATTCTCCTACCTCAGCCTCCCAAGTAGCTGGGATTACAGGTGCACGCCACCATGCCCAGCTATTTTTTTTGTATCTTTAGTAGAGACGGGGTTTCACCACGTTGGCCAGGCTGCTCTTGAACTCCTGACCTCAGGTGATCCTCCTGCCTTGGCCTCTCGAAGTGCTGGGATTACGGGCGTAAGCCACTGCGCCTGGCCTGTTCTTCTTATTCTTTATAGTTTTTTGGAGAAGACATTAAGAGTTTTGGGTTTAAATGGCTGCCATTCCCTGGACTGGCCAGCACCCAGTTGCACCTGACATTTTGCCACGTTTTTCATAGCACTTCTCACACTTCTCACACCACCCTGACAGTGGTGTTCTGGAGCTGGCTGGTACTGGCTCATGAAAGCTGAGGTTAAATTCTCAGGAATTTTCCAAGCTGGGTGACTTCACTTTTGTTCCTTGAAATTGGCAGTGATAGGAATATTCACACCACGGATATCTACAAACACTACAACCTAGGGTGTCCCGAAACCCCAGCTGTTTATTACACATTTACCAGCACACCACTAGCTATTTACTTTTATACTTCTCCACTAGCCTGTACTTCCTGAGGCTCTCCAGAGCTCACTGCACTTCTTTGCTCTTAGAAGGCACCAGTGAATGTTGAGTGAACGAATGAAACCTACTGAGTGTTCCAGTTACTTATTGCTGTTTAACAAACCATCCCAAACTTAGTGGTAAAAGCAACCATTTTATCATGCTCAAGGATTTTGTGGATCAGAAATTCAGACCACAGCAGGGATGGCTTATCCTGCTCCATGATGACTGGGCCCTCAGTTGGAAACCCTGATGGGCTGAGTTGACTCAAAGGCTGAGCTTAGCTGAGACTGTTGACTAGATGACCTGACCACAGCCTTTCCACATGGTTTTGGCTTCTCCAGCATGATGGCCGGGTTTTGAGACAGAATCCCACGACAGCCAGGAAGCAGCTGCACAGACTTTATGAAACCTTGTCTTAGAGGTTCCATAGTGTCACTCTCACCATACTCAATATTGATCAGAGCCATCACAGTCTGCTCAGGTCCAGGAGGAGGGGGCACAGAACCCACCACTCAAGGGGAGGAATGTTTAAGAGTTTTGGTGCCATGTTTTAAAACTGCCACACTGAATAAGGCAAGGAACTCCATTTATTGAGCACCTAGTTTGGGCCAGACATTTTACATACATTATCTCTACTTCTTCACAACTACCTGGGAGGTATTGTTATTATTTCCATTTTGCAGATGAGGAAACTGGAGGCTTAGAGAGGTTAAGGAGCTTGCCTAAAGTCACACAGCTATAACTCACCGTGACCCTTCCACTAGGACATACTTCTTTCATTTGTGAAGGGTCCTGGGGAAGACAAGGATAAATGATACCCAGTCTTGCTTCAGAGAACACAGAACAAACGCTACCTGGCATACATACCACCCTGGGGCATCTTAGTGTCTAGACAATTGGGGCTGGGTGTGAGCAGTCATTTCGCTTCCTACAAACCAGTCAAGGCAATTTGTGCTGAAAGTGCTGAGTATTTGCTCTTGTCCAGGCTAATTCAGCTTCATAACCTCAAGTCTGAAATCAGTAGTGTAGAGTACTTTAAATTAGCTGTAAAATTTCAATCCAATTGCTAAACTGCCTAAATTATCAAGTTTGCTCATTGCTAGTTGAATGCATGCATAATTAATTTTTTCTAAAGTCTGGACTAAAAGCTGCTGAAATCAGATCTTTTTCTTGAATTAGATTCAAATGTCATAGTGAAGTGTTTGGTTTTATGATGTAATCCAAAGCCATACATAAGTTTAAAGAACTTTTAGCTGAGATTTGTATTTGGGAGGGAGATGAGTTAGAGGACTCGATTACTTTAAAATTGAAATTACATTCTAACTAATTGAGAGTGGACTGAGTCTCTATTAAATTCAAGTATGAATCATAGTATTGTCAGACTGTTAACATTATCAGGATTGATGGCTAACATGTGCTAAAATCTTTCAGAATGTAAGCTCTGTGAGGGCAGAGATATCTGTCTGTTCCATTCATTACCTGTTTTATCCTCAATGTGTTGAATAAATAGTTGCTGGCACATAGCAGACCCTCAATAAATGTTAGTTGAATGCATCAGTTAGCTAATGTGATCATAGCAGCAAATAAGATAGAAAGTTTTATTATCACTTTACAGATGAGGAAACTGAGGCTTAGGAAGGTTAGTTATCTTTTCCAGGGTCACACTGGCAGGAAGTGTGATAGTCAAGGCCTGAATCCAGATTTTGGGACTTTGTACCCTGTGCTGCTTTTTTCTTAAGTGTATAGACACACCACTGAAGTTCATGAGGTGTTTTCTGAGTTGAAAATCAACTCAGTCTAATTTTGGAAGTTCATGAGATATTTCTGAGTCAAGAATTAGTCTGATTTTGTTGGGTATCACTGGTAGTTTTTATATTAAGATAGCATTTCGTTATGTTTTCTTCACTCCCCAGCAGCGCTATGCAGTAGAAATTCCTGTGATAATGGCACCGTTCTCTATCTGTGCTGTCTCAAATGGTAGCCACCAGCCACGTGTGGCTAGTGAGTACTTGAAATGGGGTTAGTGTAATAACGAAGGAACTGAATTGATAAATTAAATTTGATTTGAATTAATTTAAGTTTAAATAATAGTGACCTGTGGCTAGTGGCTGCCAATGTTGGACGGTGCAGCTCTATAGTTTAAAAGTATTGGTAGGTTGGTGTCCTCTTAAAAGCCATCCTATTCAACTCTCCTTTTTCATTTTTTTAACAGAGACTTGAGGCCTCTCACACTGACTCCTTTCCTTTATTGGGTGGTCTTTGCTGGCTTGAAAATTTAGTTTCTCAATTCCTAGTGGTCTCCCAATTTTCTAAACAAATTCTCTTTGCTTCTCTTTTCTCTTTTGGCTATCTGTGTTTTGATCATTTCTCTACCCTCTTGCTGCTGAGCTAAGGAAAAGCACATGAAAGGAGGTGAAAATTAAGTCTGTCCTGCCTCAGTAGGTCTTTGGGCCACTGCTCAAGCTCCTGTAGTCCTCACAATGCCTGTGTCAGTCACCTGATGCCAGGTATCCACAGCCACTTCTCAGTCATAATGATGAAAGCAAGATCATGACATTAAGTACCATCATGTAGTGAATAACACCACCTCCCTGCCAACCTCATCTCTCATTGAGTGATCTTGCCTATTAGGTGGTGTTATCTCCACTTTACAGATGTGAAAATTAAGGCCCAGAAAGACTAGTGCCAGGG
Organism: Homo sapiens; assembly: GCF_000001405.40. Taxonomy (NCBI): domain Eukaryota; kingdom Metazoa; phylum Chordata; class Mammalia; order Primates; family Hominidae; genus Homo; species Homo sapiens. Next base: position 98,630,264 of record NC_000009.12, on the reverse strand, counting down.
GGATTTAAGTCAGGGTTTGACTGATTTCAGATTTGGGCTTGGCTGCCTTCTCTGGATGCTTCTCACCCAGTGATCCTTTGTGTCTGTTGTTCCAGGGTATCTGGATACCCTTGGCTGTCAGTAATAGAAGAGCCATGCAGAGTGACATAAACCATACAGAAATTCATGGGCTCACAATGAGAAGCCCATAGGTAGGGTGGGATTTGGAGTCAACTCAATCCTGAAATAGGGCTCAGTTATTCATGAGGCACATGAATACTTTTAGAAGCCCACAAAAGTGTTTTAATTTATTTTAAAATAAGAAGAAAAGAAAAAAAACCTTGTAGATTGGAGAAAATGTTTTGATGTAATATTAATATATTCATCTTAATACCGGTGCAGTATTAAAATGGAGGAGGGAAGGGGCTCAGAAAGGCAAAAATATCTGGATCGTCATAATGCAACTCTCTTTAATAACTTCAGTGACCTTTGCTTGACAGTTCATTGTCCCAAATTTTCCAAGCACATCCTTCTGGGAGTTGTATGTTCTCATTGGCTTACACCTGAACCAATCACAATCAAGAAAAAAGGGGTGAGCCAATTGGTTTGGACCAAGGCACCAGTATTCCATACAGCATGGCTTTCATATGTACATGGGGAAGGGGTGACCCCAAATGAAAATCAAGTCTATCTAAAATGTAAGAAGGAGTTGAATGCTACGTGGCAGACCATCAATGTCTACTATATCCAGTTAATATCTGTGGGCAGAGAATGTTGAAGCTATTGGAGGTAGGAGTGAAAGGATGGCCATTCCTTTCAGACTTGGTTTTTATAATCTAGTCTTGAGGAAAAGAAAATGGCTTGTAATTTAAGGAGCTCCCAGCAGCAAATGTGCTTGCTTAGGCTGAATGATTAGAATCAACTTAGGTATAAATAAGGAGAAGACATTTTTGGCTTATCATATGATCACTTGTGGTATTTTCTATGAAAATTATCCTTTTTTATTAAAATAGTAGCATAAACCTGGATAATCTCTATTTTTCCCTTTGTAAATAAAGAGGCACATCATTTTTGAGCATATCCAAAAATACATCAATATTAAGTACAAATGAATTCCTTTGCTCATTAAACCTCAACTCTTCAGTCTCTTTTTAGATTAACTTTAGTGTTTTGTACCAGGTGTGTGTCAGAATGATCCCTTTCGTTACCCAGAATGGTTTTTTAGAATCTGAAGCTTTGAGGATTTCACCTTTGGTTCTGACTTAGACTTCGTTTCAAATTTGGTAACAAGTTTAACATTGATCAAGAAGGCAAGCCCTTCTCTGATAAAAGCAAGGCCTATAAAGGACACAGTGTGGGGAAGGACAGAATGGCCCCAGAGCTGCAGCCCCTGTAGGGGTAGGTGCACGCGCGTGCATGTTTGCACGTGGCCTTTTCAGCTTCACGGGAGGAAGCTGGGGGATCCACAGGTAAGAGAAGCTGGCTGGAGGGGGACACACACTCCATCATATAGCAAACCCTTGCCCTTCCTCTTAGGGAAAAACATCTCGAGAATGAGTTGGCAGGAGGTTGTTAGAGGCAGGGTGGTGTGTGAGGGGTGAGAAAGTTCCATTTCCAGGTGTGGTTTGGATCACACAGACAACAGACAGCAAAGTGTTTTCTCTGAGGAAAAGTCAAGTACAGCAGCGTAGCTAATAGAAAAGCTTTGAAAAAAAGCCATGGATATACTTTTTATATAAAAGAGAAAGAAAAAGGTGTTTCCATCTAAAATGGGCAATTTCACAGCAAGCTCAAGTGTTTTGCAGCCAAATGGTGCCCCGGAGCTGACAAAATCCCAGCAAAAGCCCAGGGAAGGCTGTCACTTCAGAAAGTGAAATTCAGGGGACGTTTGTAGCCAGCAAGCTGCTTAGATAATTAGCTACCCTGCCTTTTAAAACTGATATATTTCTTGATAACATATGACTTTAGGATACCTGGGGTCATTGCAAAAACCTTTTGTTTGGAGGAGTGGCTTTGGAGTCAGCACAAGCTTCTAGTTCTTGCTTCGCTGAAGCTTCCCTGGTCTTTACCCTCCTCATCTGATAAATGAGCTAAAATGTAAACGGTTTATTGTTGGCCTAAGTGGGATACTTTTAAACACACGTAAGTTATTCTTGTTGTATCTTATGTCATGTAACTTTTCAATTGCTACTTGTAACGGTGCTTAAGGGAAAGCTACATTTTTCTAAAATTTTCTGTGCTTTTTGAGATGTGTCCTTATCTGATTAAAAGCCATTTAGCTACAATTGGAACATGAAGTCTTGAAACTGTTTTTTTCAGCAGAAAGTCTGGCTGCCTATGTCCAACTTCAGGCCCAATTGAACACGCCAATTTAAGACTCCAGGCTCTGCCCTGAAGAGCTGCGTGACCTTGGGCAAGTTAACTTCTCATCTGTAAAATCAGTTTTTTCCTTGGTCAAATAGAGGCGCTAGACTAGATGGCCTCTGGGGCCCCTTCCAGCTCATTTGGTTTCTGCCTTTTGTCATTGACTGAGCTTCAGGCTTGGGGGACAGACACCGAGGAGAATGGCCATAGGGCTTCACAGATCAGCCAGCACACGGACCCGCTTCAGAACGCCCTGATGGGTGCTCATCTGTCACCTGCCCTGTGTGGACACTTCTGTGTGACAGGGCGATCACTACTTCACAACATAGCCTTTCTCTGTTCTACCACTTACACTGTTGGTCAGATTTTCCTAATGAGACTAACAGACCCGAGTGGGGACAGCTTACAAAGCCCTCTGGAATGCAGTCTTTCACATGATGTCCCGATGATTCCTGCATTAGCCGGAAGAATGAACAAGAGGCTGGGGAATAGCTTGTCTCAACTCTCTCCATCTCATACACAGTGCCTCAACCCTTGAAGCTGTAGCCTGTTTCCTGGGTCCATGGCTCCTATTCTCCCTACCAAGCTTCTGGTGGTCCAGGCACCCTTTCTCAGGAGGAATTTGGCCTCCGAGGAAGATGATGGAGAGGGCCACAGCTTGCCATCTGCTTGGCCTCCGGTCTCACTAGCTTATTCACAGAGAAAGTCCCAGAGTCCGGGTGGGCTGTGAGTATCATGTGGACATCTGACATTGGGGGTCACTGTCCCAAATCGGCCCACCAGTGGCTGAGGCTGGCCTCCGTGAAGCTGATCCCACACCCTTATGGCTCAGGTGCCTCATCTTGTTTAGGAAGCAAATCTCAGAGACCATGAAACACAGGCAGCATCTGAAAAGCATCCAAGGTTCTCCTTGCAGTCCTCACTCAAGAAAGGCGGTTTCAAACCTAGGCATTTCATGTTCTCACTTATTCCTGAAGCAGGATGATGTCAATGGTGTCTTAGAAATCACTTCCTTGTAACTTCTGTGCTGGTTCAGCCCTCCAGGAGCATCTGGAAGAGAAGTTCAAGACAGAGGCAGAAATTAGTGCTCGTTGACTGACTGAATGAATCCTTCCTCCAAAGAGGAAGCATTTTAGGCCACTGCATCGCAGAGCAGAGGATGCAACTTTACATAAACAACATGCAAATGCTTGGTGTTGCTTCAGATAATAAAAATAACAGCAAGCACTCATCTAGAACTTATAATGAGCCAAGCCTTTTCAAGTACGGCTATTTACATAATCTAACTCCAACTTCATAGTCCTAAGAGATATAAGTATTGTTATCCCCGTTGTACAGAAACTGAGGCATGGAGTTAAGTGACTTGCCCAGGATCACACAGAGAGCAAGCAGTAGATCAGGATTTGACCCAGGCTCTTCACTACCTCTCTACGATTTCACCTTTAGCTAAACAAGAGGTCCAACTCATTTTCTTATCCTTTTTAAAAAAATAACAGCTTTTCTGAAATCTTAATTTAATTCACCTAACATACAATTCACCCATTTAAAATGTGTAATCTAAGTGTTTTTGATATATTCACAGAGTTGTGCAACCATCACCACAATCTGTTTAGAACATTTTAATCACCCCAGAAAGAAACCCTGGAGCCATTGGCAGTCACTCCCCATTTTCCTCCAATCCACCCAACCCCTGGCAACAGCCAATCTACTTTCTGTCTCTTTGGATTAACCTATTCTGGACGTTTCCTATAAATGAAATTATACAATATATGGTCCTTTGCGACAGCCTCTTTCACTCAGCATGATGTTTTCAAGGTTCACTTCCGAATCTCTACCCAGGTGGGTCCCACGGCTGCAGTGCTTCTTCTCCCGGTCAGGGAGCTCTCCCCTCTATTGTTCTCCCAGGGCCTCCCTATGCACATTCCTGAGCCCTGACTTCCCTGTCTTAAGCTCTGTCCCCTGTTTAAGGTACGTCAGGCTTTGAAGGCAGGTGCACTTGGTGTGAATCCAGATCACTACATATTGTGTGCTCCTTGGCTCCCTTCGCCTCCCTGAGTCTCAGTTTCTTCATCTGTGAAATGGGCAGGAACCAGTCCCTGCTTCTTGAGGTGCTCTGAGGATGAAAGGAGAGAGTTGCCTAAATGCATTCCCTCCAGACTGTGACTGGCCTGTGGGGACAGGAGAATATGGATTTGATTCATCTTAGGTCTGTCTTAAAGACGGAGGGAACCTCTGACATCATAGCTGTGTGTGAGTCCTTGATGAAGAGTGATCCTAACCACACTACCTCTGTGTAGAGTCTTCCAGTTTGTAGGGGACGGTCACCCTGTTGTCTCATTTGACACTCTCAGCAGCCTGGCGAGGGGATATCATAGCCCCTCCCAGAGAAGAGGCTCAGGGTCTTTTCCAAGACCCCTCAGGAGGAAGTGGCAGAGGCAGTTTCTTCCCAAGTTCTCATTCTCTCTGTCCAAGGTCTCCTGACACAGCTCTCAGGGCAGCAGGCTGCCTTCTCTCAGGGGCCTGGGCCACGCTGGGTATGAGGACAGGGAACAGTTTCCACAGAAGGGCAATGGTGTGGATGGTGGTGTCTCCTGGATGGTCCTGAGCCCTGAGCCGGGCATCAGTGACCAGGAGCTTCCTTCCCTGGGCAAGTGAGTGGAAGTAAATGTGGGAGTAGGGCAGGGGTGGAGCAGCCTGGAGGGAGCACAAGCGTGCCTTTGGGTGGGCATGCCGTGTGGCAACTGGGGCATGGGCTGGGTTATAGCCCCCTTTGTGGGGCCCTCTGCTGCAGCCTTGACACATCATCCAGGAGTATGTACAGGCTCTGGTTCCAGGTTCCCAGACAGTAGCCTGGCTGGGCTTGGGCTGTGCTTCCTGAGTGTAGGTGGCCAGCAAAGCCTCTGGAGGCTGGGAGGAGGGCTTACTGGCAGTTAACACCAGGGCAGGTGATGGAGGGGAGGTTCTGCACTACAGGAAGCCCTGTGGAGCAACAGGCTGATCCCTCCTCTCCACAAATTCACATGGGGAAACTGAGGTCCAGAGAGAGAAAAGCCTTTGCTCAAGGTCCCACAGTAAATTGATGCAAGCTGCCTCCCTGTCTGCCCCGGGCTCGGGGCTCCTACCTGGCCCACCACTGATTCTCAGTGCATTTGCCAGCAGCCGGCCTCAGCGTTCTGCAGCTCCCAGCTTCCTCCGCATCCTGTGCAGGCCAAGTTCCTTAGGCGGGTCCACAGAGACCATCACAGACCATGAGGTCAAGGTGTCTGCTCGGCCTGCAGCTTGCTTCCTTGGCTGCTACCAGCAGCTCCTTGCTGCCTCCTCTTCCTCTCTCTTCCCGAGAGACTCTCTTCCTCCCTACTCTCCCTCCTACCCTAAGTCTCTCTGTCTTTGTTACAACCACCCGCCCACCTTTTGTTTAACATCTCATTTCTTTTCTACTGGAAGACAGTATTTGAACAATTAGGATAATTGAAGTTTTTCTCTCCCACAGTTCTGGCCAAAATATATCCACCTCTCATGGAACGGGGGTGAGATGCCAGCATCCCAATGGGGGCCAAGTTCTCTAGGCAGGTCCACAGGACCCACTGAGGCTGTGAGGTCATGGTGTCTGCTTGGCCTGCATCCTTGTGCTGAGACTTGTAGGCCCTGGCCCTGTCTGCTGCTTGCCTTCCTGTGCACGCTGCCTGTGAGTCCAAGGGGAGGCCAGATCTTCGTGGGGCTCACATTGCACACCCCTCAGGACCTGGTCCAGCCCCTCCACAGTGCCCAGGACCACTGCCATTGACCTCCCTTGCCTTGCCCTCCTTACTGTCCTTGGCTCTCCAGCCAAATGGAGAGGCTCAAACATCTCTGCACCTGCCAGGTGACCTCACAGGACAGACGGAGGGCTTGGGCTCTGCAGTTTGACTGTGCCTTTGAATCCCAGCTCAGCCACTTGCCCCATGTGAGACCTGAGAAGTTACCGAGCTGCCCTGTGCCTCAGGTTCCCCATCTGAAAAATGGATATGAAGAAGACTGTGGTAGGCAGAAAAATGGCCCCCAGAGATGTCCATGTTCTCATGGCAGAACCTGCGGCTATCTTACTTTCTACATAGGACAGATGGGATTAAGTTAAGGATCTAGAGATGGGAGACTATCCTGGATTATCCAGGTGGGTCTGAAAGTAACACAGGGATCTTAGAAGGGAGGCAGATGGGTCAGAGGCAGAGAAGGAGCTGTGACAACAGAAGACGGGTCAAAGAGAGATTAGAAGGTGCTGCACTGCTGGCTTTGAAAATGGAGGAAGGGGCCATGAGCCAAGGATTACAGGTGGCCTCTAGAAGGTAGGAAATGCGAGAGAATGGGTTCTTCCTTAGTGGCTGTAGAAGGAATGCTGCCCTGCTGACAACTGGATTTTAGCCCAGTGAGATCCATTTTGGATTCTGGCCTTCAAAACTGTAAGACAATTATGCGTTTTTGTATGTTTTTTAAAAATATTTTATTTATTTATTTTTGAGACAGGGTCTTACTCTGTTGCACAGGCTGGAGTGCAGTGGCACAACCTCAGCTCACTGTAACCTCTGCCTCCCAGGCTCAAGTGATCCTCCGACCTCAGCCTCCCAAGTAGTTGGGATTGATTACAGGCATGGGCCACCACCCCCAGCTAATTTTTGTATTTTTTGTAGAGACAGGGTTTTACCGTGTTGCCCAGGCTGGTCTTGAACTCCTGCATTCAAGCAATCAAACTGCCTCGGCCTCCCAAAGTGCTGGGATTACAGGCATGAGCCACCGCGCCCCGCCTGAAGACTTTATTTTAAAAATAAATTTTTAGAGCAGTTTTATGTTCACAACAAAAATGAGAGGAAAGTAGGGAAATTTCCCACATACTCTTTGCCTCCCACACATGCACAGCCTCCCCCATTATCAACATCCCCACCAGAGTGGTCCATTTGTTCCAGTCGATGAACCGACATTGACACAGCGTCATCACCCAGAGTCCATAGTGTTGTACATTCTGTGGGTTTGGACAAATACGTAATGATACATAGCCACCATTACAGAATTGTATGGAGTATCTCCATTGCCCTAAGACTCTTCTGTGTTTGTCTCTGTGTTATTGAAGCCACTAAGTTTGCAGTGATTTGTCTCAGCTGCCACAGGAAATTAATACAAGTACCTGCCTCACCACTGTGAAAAGAAAAAGAGGTGACATCAAAGAGTACCACCCCAGGGCAGGCCACATGGGGCTGGGGGGGCACTGCAAGGACTTTGGCTTTGACTCCAAGCGAGACAGGGCACCACAGGAAGGTTTTGAGCTGAGGAGTGCCATGGTCTGACATACAGTCTGACTCTGAGCATCCTGAGGACAGGTGTGGGTCTTAATCACTCTTGCTTCTCTTGAAACTTGCCTAGACTGCAGTACATAGCTAGCTGAACAAACATTTATTGCTTTCCTTCTTTTCTATCATGACTGGGGGTTTCTGTTTGGTAGTTATAAAATATGGGCGTTAGCACTTTGGGAGGTCGAGACAGGAGGATCGCTTCAGTCCAGGAGTTCAAGACCAGCCTGGGCAACATGGTGACGCCCCATCCCTACAAAAAAATACAAAAATTAGCCAGGTGTAGCAATGTGCGCCTATAGTCCCAGCTAATCAGGAGGCTGAGGTGGAAGGATCCATTTAGCCTGGGAGGTTGAGACTGCAATGAACTGTGATGACACCACTGCACTCCATCCTGGGTGACAGAGCAAGACCCTGTCTCAAAAAACAAAGCAAAACACCAAATAAAGTAAAATAAAATAAAATAAAATATATGTGAGTTGCAGGTGGGATGAAGGAAGAGTCACCAGGTTCTTAAGTAGAGGATGCTCTGATAATTATAATATTTGGGTCATTAAAAGAATGCATTTTTAGTTGGGATGCCTAAAGACCATTTTTTTTGGTGGCAAGACACATTTTTTTTTCGGTCTTAAAATCTTATAGTCAGTTGTTTTGTATTTTGATTAAAAAATTGTGCATTTTTCATGCAAGCCCATAAAGAATTGATTTTCAGATTCTTGATGTGACTGATATATTGTATAGATACACTTCCATTCCTTCTGCATGAGGCTTTCAGCACCGGATATCTGTAGGCACATTATTACAGGGAAGCATTGATTTTTGCCTAGTACAATATGCCTTCTCTTTGAGGAAATGAAAATCATGACAAATAAAAAGCCATTTTTCAAAATGACTTTGATTCTTGCAGTTTATGATTCAGAAATGAGGCCTGGGAGAAGGGACCTTAATTTTCTGGGCTAATTATTTGGCTCCCGTTGTAAAGGAGCATGTTTTTCCTGAAGGAGCCCTTAGTAGGCCCACAGAGTCTGATAGCAGCAGTGGCTGCTTTCAGTCTGCAGAATGCGTCGCAGTTCACAGCATGCCTTTCTGTTTTGCGCTCTGTGAACACTAGCTGACTGACGAGGTGGAGGAATCATATTCCATCTGTGGTAGGGGACAGGGGCTCTGAGAAGCAGAGTCACAAAGTCTGTCCAGACTGAAATAAGACAGGATATGTGTTCTCAAGGCAAGAATGGATGGAGAACCACACGATGTGGATGCCATGGATACAGAACAAGAACTTGGAACTGGAGGGTGGGATGGCAGTGGTGCCCCTGCTTCACTCCGCAAGTCCTGGTTCCTTCTGTAACCAGCTGTAACCTCGGCCAAGCTGTTCAACCTCTCTGAGCCTTGAGTCCCCTCTCTAAGGTGGGGATAATTGTCCCCACGTGGCCCACTTCCCTGGACTGCCATGCCTTCAACAGGAGATAATGGAGAAAGTGCTTCATAAATTGTGAAGGGCTCTTTATAAGCCAAGGGTAATTGCTGCGCAGATAAGAGCTTTGACTGTAGAGTCTATAATTCCTGCAACATTAATAACAATAATAGCTTTTTTTTCCCCCACTGAGCCATTGCTGTGCCTGCCGTTGTGCCTAGTGTTTCACATGTTTAATTCTCATGATGGCTTTAGGAGGTAGGCACAAATACTAGTGCACCCATTTTGTAGCTAAGGAAACTGAGACTCAGAGGTGGAAGGTAGTTTGCTGAGGGCCCCGCAGATAGCGAAGTGGGATTCAGACTGGGCTCTGTGTGACTCCAAAAGCCTCTGAGCCTCAACTCCCTCCACCGGAGCAATAATAGGTGCTGAGATGGGCCAGGGCAAGCCGTCAATTACAGATAATGAAAACATCTGCAGAAAGGAAGCATGAAGCTCAAGGTTACCCGGACCCAATGCCTCAAAGAAGATTCAAAACCTAATTCCCAGAGTTCCTTCTTACCTCTTCTGCTACCCAGTTATCAGCTATTCTTTTGTCCCCTGCTTGCTTTGGAGGAATACCATTTAAAAAATCAAGGGTGGGTTGGCAAAGAGACATTGACAACCAAATGTAATGTGTGAATTTCTTTTTAAATCTAGGATTTAAAACAACCCATAAATACATTTTTGGAACAACTGGGAAATTTAAAGTATTGATTTTATTTTAAATAAGATTATTTTAAAATATTTCTTTTTAAAGGTGTAGAGTGGTAATGTATGTAGGAGACGGTCCTTAACGTTAGGTGATAATCCCTGATATTAGAGGTGAGGTGGTCTTATCTTTGCAAGCTACACACAAATAATTCAGGGCTGGGAGCGGGGAGAGAGAGAGAGAGAGAGAGAAAGAGAGAAAATATTAGTGATTGGTGAAAAGACAACAGGTATATGAGTATTAATTGTACTATCCCTTCAGCTTTACTGTAGATTTGAAAAAATAAAATGTAGCAGTACAGAGAAAATAAATCAAGGGGTTTGGGAGAATTGGCATTTGCTGACTGCCTCCTGTGGGCCAGGCTCTGGGCCAGACATCCACATGTACTATCTCACGGGTTTCTCACAGCCTCTCTGTAAGACAGGTGTTAAGTCCATTTTGCCAATGACCCAACACAGCACAGAGAGGGTAAGTGACCTGCACAAGGCCACACAGCAGGTGAGTGGTGAGCTGGGGTTCATATGCAGGCATGCGTGAAGCTTGGGAAGCTCAGCTAGACCACAGATGAACCCTCCTTTCTCCCCCACACTGCGACCCTTCCTCACCTGGCTTTTTCATGATGGAGGTGCATACAGAAATTACTTTTTATATCCCAATGGAAACCCTAAAGGCTCAGTGAAAAACATCATACACTATTAATCAGGGCCCTCAATCAGAAGCAAGAAAAACAAGGAACTCCAAGTATCAAAAGCTTCATTTGCTGACCAGAGTCCCCACAGGAAGGAGAGTTCTGGAAAAATAAATGTTGACATTTGACACCACAGGAGCACCAATTTAAAAAGGCACTTTAACCAAAATTGACTTCACAAAAATCAATATTGAAAAATCAGACTTGGATTCCGATGAAATATCAGTCTCTTGATGTTTATTGACTTGGGTAAATGTTGGCATTTTACAGCCCAGAATTAAAATAATAGAATTTTAGAGCTAGACAAGACCTCTGAGATCATCCTGTTACCTGCCTGCAAATCTCTCTTTCTGGGCTGTACTTAATGATCTTGTTTTTATTATGTTTAATTATCCCTTCTTAAACTATGTTTAATTTTATAAATCTCCCTCAAATCTTGGTTCCATGGGCACAAGGCCTAATAAATTTTTTCTGGGGCAGGGGTGGGGGGTTAAAATTTTATTTTGTGCTTATATTTGCCTTGCTTCTTACAGGTTTCTTTTATTACCTTCTTTTGGGTTTGTCTATTTTTATTATTTCTGTTTTCCTTTTGCTAGGGAGTTATAATGTTTCTATTCTTTTAATATTTACCCTCAAAATTGAAAATATATAACTTCTAAAATTTTAAACTTAATATATGTATGCTCATTACAGGCAGTATAAAGATCTTAGAACACTTCACTTCACTTTTCCCCACCAACTTATGTTCTTATTGAATGTTTTCTCTTTTTCCTTTTTTATAACTATTTTTTAAAAGAAAAGTCAGGCCAGGCCTAAACTAAAGCTGTCAGTTTATAGAAGAGATCATTGGCAAGAAGGGGAGTGACTTGCCTTAGGTCACAGAGTTGGGACCAGAAGCCCCAGACAGTCACACTGGTGCCTCACTTTCTCCTCTGGGCCTGTCTCTTCTGGAGTCTTTCTGTCATGATTACATCAAGGAGGGAGTGAGGAGCACTTAGCAAAGGCTGGTTCCCCAGGGCTGCTGGGGAGGTGGTAGCCATGTTAGGCAGATGTCAACTGGAGAGAGAGGAGCAAGAGACAGAGAGAGACACACTGAGAGAAGCACTCACAGAGACAGAGAGGGAGACAGAAAGAGAGATAGAAGCATACCCAGTGACAGAGATAGACAGAGAGAGAGAGAGAAATAGACAGAAATATTCAGAGAAAGAGACAGAAAGAGTCAGAGAGACAGAGAGAGAGAGAGAGAGAGAGAGAGAGAGAGAGATGCAGCAGACCTTTTTTTTTCCTTTGCATGGAGGCATCTTTTGTCATTGCTGCAGGGTAAGATGCAGAACATGTCATTAAATTAGAGATACTATTGTTTCATCCTAACATGCTTTCATCTGCCTAATTAAATACCGCGCACAAACCCCCAACTATTGTGATCGAACAATCCCCACAAAGTCAAGATTACAAAAAGGGCACAAGTCTAGTAATTATGCCAAGTGTGGTTCCCCTTCCGAGGGTGCCTATGATTAAGCCATTTAGAGGGATCTTGTGGAATAAAGGTGGATGCCCTTCATGAAGTCTGAGACCAGAGAACTGGAGCTGCAGGATCGGTTAGCCCTGAGCCTGACAGCCATGGGGACACAGGCCTCTGATGTGGGTAAAATCACGTTTCTTCATGATGGCAAGAATAAGAACCACAGCTACTCTTTTTTGAGCACTTTCTATAGACCAGGCACTGGGCTAAGCTTTTTCTGTACCCATTTTTTATCCTCACAGAGAAGCCAATTGGATAGATGTCATCCCATTTTAATAGATGAGGAAACGGAGGCTCGGAGTGGTAAGGGGACTTGCTCCAGGTCATACAGACTGCAGGTAGTGGGGGCATCACTGGGTGCAGATCTGTCTGGCTGTAAGTCCACTCTGGCCATGATTCTTCCATCACTGCCTGTGGTCTTGTTCTGACTCCACAGTGAACTTGTCTCTGCTGTGACTTTAGTGTTGGGTTTCGTGAAGCTTTTTTTTGTGTGCCAACAAATGGCCTAGGTCTCCTGCATTCACTAGAGGAGTGGTTAGGATTCTCAGGATCGTGACTGGAGAGGATCTAATCAGAGAATCAAGGCCAAAGAAATCCCTTTAGGGACCCAAGTTCTCTGACTGTGCAGGAGGTTCCATCTCCCTTGTCATTCCTTCTGCTGAATCTTGGTATTTTTGTGTGGTCCACAGCAATGTCTCTAATGCGTATGCTTTCATTATGATTCCAACAAACACAAAAATGTGACTATGAGAATAAAATCAGAAACCTTAGAGGTACTTGGGGCTCCCAGTCATTCAGTGTCCCTGCTCTCCCAGGCTGCATTTGCGTCTCCTTGTCTAGACATCCTCAACTCCTTTTAGGATTCTCTCCCTTAACTTCTCATGCTGCCTTTCCTTTCTCTGGGCCCCATTTCCTCACCCCTCCAGATCCTCACCTCCTTTGGGGAGCAGCTGGGTCTGGCTTTCCTTGGTACCCCTGAGCACCCAACCCAGAGCCGGCACCCAGTGCATGTTTAGTTTGTGGCATAGTTTAACATCCATTCACACGCACATCTGACAGAAACTTGTGATCATCCATCATAAAGAGAATTTATCGTGGTGGATTGGGAAGTTATTTAAATGCAATGCAGCAGGGACCCAGGAAAATTCTAGGTCTCATTTATACCTTCAGAATGTGAATGGAGGAGAGTGGTTAGAACTGACATGCAGTACCTGGGGAAGCCTGGAATGTAGATATTTAAAGTGAAATACACTGTCCAAGGGATTGCAATTCATGGTTCTGCATTTTGAGGGCAGAGAAATTAACAAATGCCTAAATCAGAAACTTTAGTTTTAAAATGTAGAAAATATATTCATACATCAATACCTCACTTATCCAGAGAACACAGATCCAGTCACTTCATCTATCCAAAACCCAGCTGACTCTGTGGATCTCTAAACTGCCAAAGTAGAAGACTTTTCTTTCTTTTTTTTTTTTTGAGACGGAGTCTCACTGTCACTCAGACTGGAGTGCAGTGGCGCATTCTTGGCCTACTGCCACCTCCTCCTCCTGGGTTCAAGCGATTCTCCTGCCTCAGCCTCCCGAGTAGCAGGAATTACGGGCATGCACCACCATGCCCAGCTAATTTTTGTATTTTTAGTAGAGAAGGGGTTTCACCATGTTGGCCAGGCTGGTATTGAACTCCTGACCTCAAATGATCTGCCTACCTCGGCCTCCCAAAGTGTTGGGATTACAGGCGTGAGGCACCGCATCCGGCCAACTTTTCTTAAGGCTCATTCGGTTTGTCTGGGAGCTCTGCTTCGGGCTTCTCTCAGTTCCTAGCTGCACTTGTGTTGTGTACTTTTCTTACCAGTTGTATTATCTTTGGTTTCCAGACTACAGCAAGTCAACCAATTAGGAACAAGTGTAGGGTTGATAGCCAGCAGCAAGAAATGGCAGCTTACTGCCTGACCCGGAGGGTGAGAAAGGGAAGAAATGTCAAAGACCCTGAGGATTTGAAAAGCATGTTGGAAAATTAGGATGGAGGGCAGTGTAACACCCCATACCCTGTATCTTCCCTGGGGACCACATGTGTTTCTGGCAGGTCCATGGCTTGAAATTCTTAACCGTTGTTTGGATTTGCTAAGTCATTTAACCTCTCTGAATCTCAGTTTCCTTATCTATAAGATGGAAATAGTAATTTATCAGCTTTCTACGTGTCAGACACTGTTCTTATTTCTTTGCATGTGTGAATTTAATTCTCACAATTTACCATGAAGGAAGTACTACTTATTAGCACTAAGCAGTTGAGGCACAAACAGGTGCAAACTTGCACAAGCTCACCTAGTTCATAGATGACAGAACTGGGATTGAGAGGCAGGCAGCCAGGCTCTGGAGTCACATTCTGGACTGTGGCTTTTGTTCTGGGAGCAATGACCCTCCCTCCCACACAGAGCTGTTTAGAGGGTGAAATTAAATATGTATCAAGGAGTCCAGCACAGTTCTGGGCACACACTGAGTGGCCTGGAAGAAAGGATCTGGGCTATGTACAGCACCATGTGTTTTTTGAGAGCAGGGGGTCGACACCGATTATTCCTGGAGGGTGAGATTGGAGGCAAGGGAAGTGGGGAGCAACTTGGCACCTCCTGCTTTATCCATGACTGTATTGTTGGACTCTTCTGGAAGCACGTTACCTTAGCAATTTCAAAATATCCTGGGGGTGGGGAGGAGAAAGAATTTTGGACAATAAGGGCATGTCTAAAACCTGCAGCCATGTCTAAATTGCATTTTAAAAATTAGTCTTTCAAACATGGCTTAAGTTGGAGCACTTAATGATATACGCTTTATTATGTAGAACTTCACTTCTGTGGAACAGCTGATGCCTTTTCACTGGTCTGCTGTGAATGCCACCTGTTACTGTGCTGAGATAGGCTTGTGGTCCTTCCTCCTTTCCTCAGTAAATCTCACACCAGGAGGACTCTCTGTGCCTCTGGGGTCTACAGCTGAGACATCCAGACCATCTGCATTGACCGTGTGCTCTAGTGTGTCTCGCATCCTGCTAGGGGCTGGTGATTCAGGGGTGAGTTGGGTGGCATCCTGCCTCAGGAGCCTATAAAGTGAGAGAGGCAGAGGTGGCCAGCCAGCCCAGGGCTGACCTGAGGTTGTCCCTGAGTGGGGGCATTTCTTCTCATGGAAGGATCCATCAGAGTGGTGTGTCAGCTGAACAGAGGGAGATGAAGGATTTTTATTGAAAAGGCTACAGGACAGAGAAGCTGTTCCAGGTTGAGAGAACAACAGGCAGAGGGAAGGTTAATATACCCTGAAAGTCTGTTTCTGGGCAATAGCATCACTGAGACCTGTGTTAAAAAGAGCCAGCTCCTGGATGAATTGAGTTTACAGTCTCCATTTGTGATCAAGTTCTGCAGGGTTGATCTTCATGCATGTCTGTCTCTCTCCCTCCCTCCCTCCCCAAAGCATCTTTTTATCCTTCTCCATTCTCCTTTCCCCCTTCTTCCCTCCACAGAAACAACAGCTATCTAGAAGTTAGTTCTATGTTTCTCATCTCTATTGTTATATCTTACTGCAGATGTACATGTCCATAAACAATCTATAGTATTTTTAAGCTTTATGTAGACATCATACTATATATAACATTCTATAACCCATTTTGTTTTACTCATTTTAATTTGTCTTTTATTTACTTAATTAATTAATTTATTTTTTTGAGACACCGTTTCAATCTTGTTGCCCAGGCTGGAGTGCATTGGCGCAACCTCGGCTCACCTCAACCTCTGCCTCCCAGGGTCAAGCAATTCTCCTGCCTCAGCTTCCCAAGTAGCTGGGATTTACAGGCGTGCACCACAATGCCCAGCTAATTTTTGTATTATCAGTAGAGGTGGGATTTCACCATGTTGACCAGGCTGGTCTCGAACTTCTGACTTCAGGTGATCCACCTGCCTTGGCCTCCCAAAGTGCTGGGATTACAGGCGTGAGCCACCGCGCCCAGCCTAGTTTATCTTTTAATAGGTGGTTTTAATTGGTTTATATTTATTGTGATTAGTGATATATTTCTACTCTCTTATTTTGAGTGTTCCTTCTGCCACTCCCCCTTTTTCCTCTGCTGATGTGGTTATATCCTTAACACTTTAGCATATATCCTAAATTAATTTCTTTTTTTCTACTCAAATCTATTGCTATTCAATATCATTCTCCTTTACTGAATCTGATGAGAATTGTAATCATGCATCACAACCCACTAATACCTGTTCTATCATTGTTTCCTAGAATTTTGGTTCCAAAAATTTTAATTGTTATTATTTTCGTGTTACAGTTAGTAGTTCATTAACTTTGCTAACACATTTTCCTAATGCTTTTGCTCGCCACTGTTTTTTGTGCCCTATTCCTTCTTCTGAGTTCCCTTTTCTTCTGGCTGAGTTCATTCTCAAGTTGTACTTAGCGCATATGGTGAGTGCCAAGGATGGTCAACGCTCTTAATATTTGGATGTCTTAAAATGTCTCTGTTTTCCTCTCACTTTTGAATACTGCTTTAGCAGAGTTCAGAATTCCAGGCATGCAGTTACTTCCCTGCAGAATTTGTCTTTTGGGTCTCTTGTTACTGAAGAGATGTCTGCTGTCCATCCAGTTATTGACTCCTTAGAAACTGTCTTTTTCTGGTAACTCTTGAGGCCTATGCCTGGAACAGGCTTCCTCTCGCTTTTATCATATTCTTTTGGCCACATCAAGTCACAAGGCCAGCCCAGATTCAAAAGGTAGAAAGTAGACTCCACCCTTTTTTTTTTTTTCTTCCCCTGAGACAGTGTCTTGCTCCGTCACCAAGGCTGGAGTGCAGTGGTACAATCACGGCTCACTGTAACCGCAATCTACTGGGCTCACGCGATTCTTGTGCCTCAGCCTCCTGATTAGCTGGGACTACAGGTGTGTACCACCATGCCTGGCTAAATTTTAAAAATGTTTATAGAGATTGGGTCTCATTATGTTGCCCAGGCTGGTCTCGAACTCATGACTTCAAGTGATCCTCTCACCTTGGCCTCCCAAGGTGTTGGAATTATAGGCATCAGCTGGTGGTCATGGGTGCCAACTCACCTTTTGATGGTAGGAGAGTCAAAGTCATTCCAAAGGCTATGGGTATAGGAAGGGGTGAATAACTGGCCATGTTTGCATTCCATCTGTCACAGTTTTCCACCTTGTCCTGCCATCCAGAGCGTGCAGCTTCCTGTGGGCTGAGGCAGCAGGTAGCAGTTGGTAGAACTTCATCCCAGCTTTCCTCTAGAGCAGAGGAAGCCCTTCTCTACCTGCTCTGCTCCAACCCTTTGCTTCAAATAGTGAGCTTGACTATAGTTCTCTTTTGCATTGATTGTGGCTCTGGCCCCCGCCTTTACTTGGGCGTGCTATGAGTCTCTGTTACCCCAGAGAATTCTCAATGCCAGGCACCTCTGTCTGTATTGCACTCAGAGCCCATCAAGCCTGCAGCCTCATCTCCACTTACCATGTTGTGGTTTTTTCCCCCCTGAGAATTTTATTTTTGAGTAATGCTATGTCTTTAAATTTTCTATTTTTGTATTTCAGCTATCATTGCTGTGTGTTTATTACAGCAAGGAGGAGGAGACCTCAAAATGTGAATTTAATTTGCGATACCACCTTGGCTGGGATTCTTTTGTTTACTTTCTTCATAAAACAGTGCTTGTCACATTCTCCAGGAAACAGATGAGGCTGTGACAGCACATTAGAATGTACATAACTGTGATAGTGAGAACAAAAGTGCAGACTCTCTGGGTTAGAAGCGGCCCTCTAGTGCTTGAATCCCTCCTCAGCCTGTCACACAGGTGAGCATCTAACACCTGGACAGCTCCAGGGCTGGCTGACCGGCCACGTTTCTGTTGCATCCAAGCATAGCCCTGGCTTTGAAAAAAATGCCGTTATTCTCCAGCTGGTGCCTGTCTCCCTGCAGCTTTCTGCCCCAGCCCCCATATCCTAGTTCTGGTCCTTTCCTCTGGAACCAAACACACTGCATCTGTGCTCTCTGCCTCTGAGAGCCCCTCAGAGCTGTGCAGGCCATGCTGGGCCTGAGGGGGCCCTTCTACTGGCTGAACAGTTACAGGCTCTGCAGCCAAGACTCGTGGGATATAATTGGCTGTCCTCTCTCCAGACTGGCTGACTCTGGGGACAATCTGCAGGTGGTCCCTTCTCTCTTCCTGGGCAGGGCCCAGATAGAGCCTCAAAGATGGGTTTGGATAGACCAACCAGAAACTGAGCAGGCCTGTTCTCCACCTCCTTGATTCTGGAATGAATCATTCTCCTGGTGTAGCCTCCAGCTGTGTTGTGAGATGAACTCACATGGCTCCTCGGTCAATTGCCATTCATTCATTCATTCACTCCTTGGGCGCATCAGGGAAGCAGTGCTGAACAAGGCTGCCATGGAACGTGAGGTCTAGTGAGGCAGACAGATGTAGTGTGACCACAGCCACGAGGGCAAGGTACCCGGTGGTGGGAGTGTGCGTGGCTGGGGAACCTACCCAGAATTGGGGAGGCTTTTCTAAGAAAGTGGTGTGTGCTCTGAAGAGCACTTTCTCGTTTTCTTAACATTTCCAAATCCAGATTTTCAAGAGAGAAAATCTCTTCCTTGCCAGCTCATTTTTCCTGGGCCTACAAGGTTATGGGTCAGCAGCTAGCCTATGGCTTGGGTTTACATACCTTGTCCAGTTAGCTAGGCCTGGGATATAGGAATCTTCCAATTTCATTCATTCATTCATTCATTCATTCATTCATTCATTCCTCGGG
Source organism: Homo sapiens (assembly GCF_000001405.40). Classification (NCBI taxonomy): domain Eukaryota; kingdom Metazoa; phylum Chordata; class Mammalia; order Primates; family Hominidae; genus Homo; species Homo sapiens. The sequence goes on along the minus strand of NC_000009.12, from coordinate 98,611,451 downwards.
TGCACTTGGGATGTGATGAAGGAATCCATAGCAGTTTTCATTGTTGGAGAAGCTCAAGTAGGAAATAGTTAGGGCAGGGATGGGATGGGGTGACAGTAAGTGTGGTGGCTCCATGCTGAAGGAGACATGCAGCTACAAGGGACTGTGAGTGAAGCCTAAGACACCAGGGTGAGCAAGGGACAAGGTAGGCAGTGGAAATGGCAGCGGCCATGCCACAGAGGGCCTTACAGGGCAGGAGGCAGGGGGTGGCATTGATCTTTATCCCAATCTTTATCTCCGGGGGGCTGAGGAGCCCATTGTTGGGTGGAAGTAGCCCAGTTGGGAGAGGACAGGATGGTGGTTCTGTAGGCAGCGGGGAGGAATGACCTCCCTGGACAGAGGGAGACTTGAGAAAGCAGTGGAAGGTGGGGAGAGCGATGTCAAGGAGGCACCTTGTTTTTTTTGTTTGTTCGTTTTTGTTTGAGACAGAGCCTCATTCTTTCACCCAGGCTGGAGTGCAATGGTGCAATCTCTGCTCACTCAACCTTTGCCTCCCGGGCTCAAGCAATTCTCCTGCCTCAGCTTCCTGAGTAACTGGGATTAAGGAGGCACCTTGTATTTGCTTCCTGTGGCTGCCAGAACAAATTGCCACAAACAGGGTGGCTGAAAACAGCACACGTTTTTTTTTTTTCTCACAGTCCTAGAGGCCAGAAGTCTGAAATCAAGGTCTTGGCAGGGCCAGGGTCTCTCTGGAGGCCCTGGGGGAAAACCAATCCTTTTGTGCCTCTCCCTGCTTTTGGTGACTGTTGGCATTCCCTGACTTGGGTCTGCAGGGTTCCAATCTCTACCTCCCTGGTCACATTGTCTTCTCTCTTCTGCCTGTCTAGTCTATTTCTGCCTCACTCATGAGATTTATAGCCTACCTGAATATTACAGGATAAGCTCCTCCTCTCAAGAACCTTCACTAAATCACATTTTTGCCATGTAAGGTAATATTCCCTCTTTTACCATATAAGGCAGCATTCACAGTTCCAGGAGTTAGGGCATGGATGCATATTTTTGCAGGCTGCCTTTCAGCCAGCGCAGTGCTAAGGACCTGACTATAGAAGTGAGCCCTCACGTAGTGCAGGCTGTGGGCCAGGCTCTGTGTCCTGACTGCTCCAGATGGGTTGACTCATTTTAAACCTCATGAAATAGGCACTATTGTCATCCTCTCTTTATAGGCAGGAAACTGAGGCTCAGAGAGGTTAAATGGGCCCACTGTCACGCCACCAGGAAGCCACCAACTGGGAGTTGAGTCCAGGCAGCAGTTTCTGGAGCGCTTGGCAGGCTGCACTGCCCTCCTAGGCGGGGCGGATGGAGGATGGGTGCTGTTCACTGAAATGAGGCATCTGGGAGAGGGGCGCAGGGAGGACAGGAGTTTGGTTTGGGGCATGGTGAGCCACAGCCCCTGACATCCACGTGCTTCTGTGTCCCCTTCATTGCCAAGTGCAGCCTCCGTGTCTGGGTTTCTGATCTTGGCCATGGCCCCTCTGCCCTTTTGGCTTGTGGAAACAGCCTCCCAGTGCTTCGATGGCAAGCCCTCTTCAGAACCACTAGTGCCACTGCCCAGTGTCCTGGCCCTGAGCCTGGGTTTGGAGCTCTCAGCGTCCACACAAACTGAGTAGGGTAGCAGACGGGGCATCACAAAGACTTTGAGGATGTAAGGGCTGTGCCACTGGCACCCAAGGAGCCTGGAGCCCAGCTCTGCCCCAGGCCACTCCCAGCAGCCCCACCCTTCTGAGGGGGCCGAAAGCTGGAGGCCCTGAGCACCATCTCCCCTGAACCATGCCTTGCTCACTGCTAAAAACCCACCTTGGAGCCCTGCCCTTCAACCAGTTTTGCCACTCATTGCTTAGGGCTTAGGGCTCAGCCCACCCAGATGGGTTATAGCTGGGAGGGGTTAGGTGCTCTGTTATGTGGAAAAATCACCCAATGAAATGTCAGGAGACCATTCCCACTCCTCCCCGACGTTCACTTGAAATATGGGCATGCTTTGGATTTCATAGATGGAAGGGTAAGGGCATTCGAGGTGCGAGAAACTGCAGGGAGGTGAGGAGCAAAGGCACAGAAATGGGAAAAGATAAATTCTGCTTGGGAAATGCCAACTGCAAGATGACTGTGATGTAGGGCACCTGAGGTGGGTGACAGAGGGGCTGGAAGGGGGAGTGGGGGCAGAATTCAGGCTGTCTGGGATGCCAGTCTGTAAGAGATGGAACAATGGTTTTATAAGAAATGATTCTATGTCAATTGCAGAGATTCTCCACTGATGCATGTTGTTTGTACATTTTTTTATATCACAACATCGTTTATTATGTGAATTTTTTACAATACAAACAAAAAATACAGAAATGCAATATATGATTACAGCTAAATGCAGAATGGTGACTTTTTTCTCTTCAAGAGGCCGTGATTCCCATTTCTAGTAAAATTAAGAGACTGCATATAGGTAGAAACAGGTTGGTCATTAGCTTCACAATTTTGCCTAGAAATGATCTATAAATGCATTTTCCCCCTGCTACTTACCATAAAGTGTAAAAAGGAGTTAAAGAAAGTTTCCTTGTTGGTTCCTACCATATGAAAGATGCTATATTCTATTTCAGCAGGGCCAATATGTGAACACTATCTAAATTAAATGTTATTACAAAAATGAAGTAGTAATGAGATTCTGGCTAAAGAGTGCACTAAATGAGAATAATATATATTTAAAGAATCCAAAACAAACAAAAAGAAGTTGTTATAAAAAAGCTCTAGGTGCACTGTAAGCATATAGGGTTTTTTTTCCATGTGTATTTTTAAACAATGGAAGTGTCAAAACATAGGGTCAACTGTGTTAGACTAAATTACATTATTGTATATACTGCATTGAATGGAACCTTTGTATTATAATTATCATAGAGAAGCATAGTTTGCATCATATTATGGCCTTTTATCCTCAATGAAAACCTTCCAGAGTCCTTTTATTTTGGAATATCTTGTAAACAATCAAACCGTCAGAACATGATTATACAACAGTAAAATGTTATCTTGCATTCAACTGAAGATAATCTGTTTAATAAAAAAAGAAAAAGAAAAAGTAGGAAAAGTAGAGCTGTTACTTTCTAAGTACACAACACCCTAGACAATTGACGGCATCTTAATCTCCATCAAGAACAACAACAACAAAAATAATGTGTGTCATGCTCTTAAATCCATCATTATAGATAAAACTGGCTCAAATTGGTCAAACGGATCCAACAAACACTGATGTCCAAGCTGGCATATTGGCAACTAATACGTAACTGGTGGTCAATAGAGAGTTTAAAAGATCTTCCTTTCTTCTTGTTCTTTTCCAAGGTTCTCGAAGAGTTCGTTGTTCTAAAATACGTTGTTGAGCTTCCCAGTTTGCTTTCTCATCCTCTAACTGATGACGTTTTTCCTCTAATTGTTTATGCTGTGCTTCCAAATTCCTTTTCATTTGCTCATGGTGCCGCTGGAGCTCAGCTTCAGAGTTCTTCAGTTTTGAACTTTTTCTTTGACCTTCATCTCAAACACCTGCTCCATCTCCAGCTCCATCTTCTTCATTTTAGCTACATGCTCCCTTCTTTCTTCTTCCATTTGTGCCGGAGGGCTCTTGGTCAGCTGCCCTTTATTCTTGTTGTTATCAATTCCATTATAAGTCACAGCTGCCAGTTTTCTGCTTCTGTAGTTCTCATAGTGGACATTATTAGTAACCTCTTTCAAGTCCTGCATGTGTGTTCTTATCAACATATTTCTTAGAATTGTAAAATCACAGTGTTCACCATTTTCAACTTCAGCAATACCCCAAGGATGCTGCTTTCCTCTGATCATTTTGCCATTAACTTTGATGATAGTATTACTACCTACCACACCAACAGGTAAATGGTCCTTTATCTTTTTAACAAGTTTATTTTCTTCTTTATTATGTTTCTAGAAATTCATATATTTTAATTTTATGTTCTTGGGTTTCTTTCATTATCTGTTTTTTAAACTGTTAGCATTCCTCTGGTGTGAGTGTGTCTTCTGTGGCAATAAGTGAGATGATACTGTTTCATGCAAACGCTTCATAAACTCAATATTCAATGGTTTAAGTCCATGTCCTGAAGGAGCAATGAAGTATAAACAACGCTACACCGTTATCAGGCATCTGACGTCCGTTCACATGCGATTCTGCATTTACGTAGTCCTCAAGTTTATTATCAATGTAGTCGATTGTAAGGCTGCCAGCAATTACTATTATCCACTGCATCTCCAAATCCTGGGGTATCAACTATTGTGAGCAGCAACTGAACACCACCTTCTTTGATTAAAACTTTGGATTGTTCCACCCACTACCATAGCGTGAATCAAAACCAGATCTCTTAACTGATTTTCTGTATACTTGGTTTGGGAGATTGGCAAATCCCACATAGCCTTCAGGGGTCTTCTGTTGAGCTACCGAGCGACATGGGGCGAGCAGCGGTTTGGATGCAGGCGGAGCCGCGGGCAAGCAGGAAGAAGATGATTCTTAGGTCTGAATGCCTAGGAATTCATGTGGATCAATCAGACCTCCCATGGTGCTGCTGTGGACGCTTCTCTCCTCAGCAGCAGTGGCTCTCGCACTGTTTGTACTTTTTTTTTAAAAAAGGAAAGTTATCATAAAAAAATGATAATAGGTCAGGCACGGTGGCTCATGCCTGTAATCCCAGCACTTTGGGGGGCCGAGGCGGGCGGATCACTTGAGGTCAGGAGTTTGAGACCAGCCTGACCAACATGGAGAAATCCTGTCTCTACTAAAAATACAAAATCGACCGGGCATGTTGGCACATGCCTGTAATCCCAGCTACTCGGGAGGCTGAGGCAGGAGAATCGCTTGAACCTGGGAGGTGGAGGTTGCGGTGAGCCAAGACTGTGCCATTGCAGTCCAGCCTGAGCAACAGAGTGAGACTCCATCTCAAAAAAAAAAAAAAAGAAAAAAAAAAGATAATAGACACCACAGTGCTTCTGATGTGCCAGGCATTATTACAAGCAGTTTGTATGTATTTACCCTTTAAATCCTCACATGAGGTGGGACTGTAAACTAGTTCAGCCATTGTGGAAGACAGTGTGGCGATTCCTCAGGGATCTAGAACTAGAAATACCATTTGACCCAGCCATCCCATTACTGGGTATATACCCAAAGGATTATAAATCATGCTGCTATAAAGACACACGCACACGTATGTTTACTGCGGCACTATTCACAATAGCAAAGACTTGGAACCAACCCAAATGTCCCTCAATGATACACTGGATTAAGAAAATGTGGCACATATACACCATGGAATACTATGCAGCCGCAAAAAGGATGAATTCATGTCTTTGGTAGGGACATGGATGAAGCTGGAAGCTATCATTCTCAGCAAACTATAGCAAGGACAAAAAACCAAACACCGCATGTTCTCACTCATAGGTGGGAATTGAACAATGAGAATGCTTGGACACAGGAAGGGGAACATCACACACCGGGGCCTGTAGTGGGGTGGAGGGACGGGGGAGGGATAGCATTAGGAGATATACCTAACGTAAATGACGAGTTAACGGGTGCAGCACACCAACATGGCACATGTATACATATGTAACAGACCACGTTGTGCACATGTACCCTAGAATTTAAAGTATAATAAAAAAAATCCTCACATGAACTCGAGGAGAACAGTTCCATTATCCCGAATTACAGGTGAAGAAATGGGATGCTACGAGGTTAAGTGATGTGCTGGAGTCTCATGACTAGTCTGCTTATGTCACGCAGTTTGAAGCCTCAGTTAAAGAAAGATGTGAATGTGCAGGGTATCCTAGAGGCACTCCTTGCCATAGCCCCAAATGGCAGCAGCAGTCCCTAGACCCTTAGAAGATCCATTAAGAAAAGGAAGTGGGCCCCTGAGGAATCACGGTGATTGCCGACCTCAAGCTGGGCTTGTGGGTTTCCCCATCACGTTCATGTGGGCATACAGTAGCTCTGTAAGGCAGGTGAGAGTCCGTAGCCTGAGATACAGATGCAAGCTTAGCCTCAGGGTGGCGAGTGGCCCACTGCAGATCTGCAGTACCGTCCTGGGGAATGGCAGCTTATACCAAGGCCACCTTGCTCCACCCTTTCTGAAAATCCCCGTGTTCATGCTGAGAGCTGTGCTCCCCTTGTTGCCTCCAAGCTCTGGGGCTCACAGCACCTGAGACTGGCAGGGCAGGTGCAGTTGGAAACCTGACCTGGGGATGGCTACTCCGCTGTTGCACTGTACATCCCTGTGGAGGCCTCAACAGAAGGAGAGGGGCATTGCTGCCCTGGTTTCGTCTCATGGGCACACCCTGACTTGTTCTGCCTTTTGGCCTTGCCATGTACGTATCTTGTCTCCTGGCTGATGGCAGCTTCCATGTCATTAGGGGTGATGTGGGTGGGAGACCAGGAGGGCAGGGACCACGTCAGCCTTGGCTCTTGGTCCTTAGCTCTGGTGTGGTGAATGGCATATCATGAGGGCTCAGTCATTATTTACTGGATCAGGGAAAGAATGATTGACTCCTGGGAGATGAGGGGTCTAGATTGGAGTACCAGCCCCGCAAACAACTAGTTGTGAGTCCTCAGGAAAGCCACTTAATCTCTCCGAGCCTCAGTTTGCCATTAGTAAAGTGGGTGTGATAATGTTTGTTTTGAGTGTTACAGATGACTATCAAGGGGAAAATGTGTGACATATCTTTGTAACCTAGAAAGGGCCTTATATAAAGATCTTTCTCACCAGCATTATGATTCTTATGATTACCATTGTTGTCTCTATTAGTATGAGCATCCAGCCAGCATTAAAAACAAATGCATATGTAAGGACCAATCTTCCAGTGAGTGTTCCAATTTATGCAGGTGTTGGTCAATCAGTAAGCAATTTCTGAGGCCCTACTCTGCCCAGCCTTCTACATGTTGTGGGTAGAAGGGAAAAGCATGACAACACAATCTTCTGGAACAAAAGCAAACATTCGGAGCCCAAAGGATGGCTGGTGGCTATTTTAGGAAGGGTGAGGGCGATGTTGGAGCAGAGACCAAGACACTGAGAACTTCGGTGAACCTGCAGTCTGTGACTCCATAGAGCTGCATGGATGTCCTGTCCTGCAGAAACTGTTGCTCAATAAAGCCGATGAAATGGATGTGTGTGGGAGGTTGGGTGGGGGAATAAGCAAAGCTCCTTGGCAGGAAAATGAGCTGGCGTCTCAAACTTTAGTGTGTACCCGGATCATCAGGGATGTGTATTAAAAATGGAGCAGCCCTAGAGATTCCGGTTTGGTAGGTCTGGAATAGCGCTTGGGAAGCGGCATTTTACCAAGCCCCCAGGTGGTTCTGACGCAGTGGTCTGCATCTTTGAAAAGCACCACCCTGTGCCCGGGCGGGTCTCCAAGCCTCAGCTTCCAGCTGTCAAAACCCAGCCAAACAGAGCTACTTAAAAATGCACAGAACACAATGAGAGAGCACACATCTGAATTCTAGGTGATATTTTCAGATGGAACGGGACGTTATTTTTGTCCATGTTGGTAGGAAGGTTCTTGGGGTTTAGTGAACCAGAGCGGAGTCTGTTGCTCCATGCTGCTCTAATTATGGTCCCTGAAGCTCTCAGTGGGAAGTAAGAACCAGAATATTCTTTCTGAAGATCTTGTGTGCTACCCTGGAAGGTCTGTTTTGCAAAATTAATCAGCTTTGGGCCAGTTTCTTATCTTGAACCGTTTGAGATTTCTGAGCTGCAGTTGCAGAAAGCATGCTTTGGGAAAATCACATCTTTGTGTCTTTGTTTCTCTAGTGCACTGGTGGAGCCTGACTTGTGTGCCAGGCCCAGGGTGGGAGGCAAAAATCAGAGAGGTGATCCTTGCCCTTGAGGGAGGACAAAAAAAGCAAACGTAGAGCTGGAGCATGAAGGAGAATAAAAGAAGTGTTGTTGGAAGGTTCAGTAAGGATCTTGAGAGAATAATATCAACCAAGGGGAAACTGGATAAGAAATCAATTTCAAAATTTCCAGGATGAAACTGCTCCCTAAAAAGTAATTAGCGATATTAAATTCCTCCTCTCTCTAGCATGAATGAACCTTGGCCATTGAGGAAACACAGTGGAAAAGTTCCAGACCAAATCCTTTGCCTGAGAATGTCCACCCAGATCTTAGTTGTAACAGGACAATGAGGAAGTTGCTGGAAGAATGATTTCCAGCCTTTGGGGATCTTGTTTATCTTTCTGAAACAGGGAATGCCTTGGCAAATGAAATGAGGTGCTCTGTAGGAGACGGGGCAGAGAGAGTGGGGGTATTTATTGACATGAAACCCATTTCTCTCTTAGTCCAAATTTGCTGAGCATTCAGTCTTCTTAGCAACAACAAGAATACCAGCAGTAGTCCCTTGGGGGTGGCCAAGTCCTCGTGTTTCCAGAGCCTGTGTTTTCCTGTGTCTGCCGGCCCTCCCTACAGCTAGATAAGGAATCACTACACTTTATAGATAGGATTGGAAGGCCCAGAGAAGCAAAGTGACTTGCCTAAGGCCACACAGCTGAACCCAGGCCATGTCTGCTCCTGCCTGTAGCATACTGGACTCTCCAGTACAGACTATGGCCCCACGTTGTGGAATCCAGTGAATGTTTGGGTGTTTCAGGGAAGACTGTGACAGGCACAAGGTAGTTTGCTAAAAAAAGAAACCGAGCATCTCCGTGAGAACTTGCACTCTCTTTCCTCCAGTTTTCTCCCCTCCCACTGAATCAATTAACAATTTCAAATTGTTCCCTAGTGCTTGGGCAGGTTTGTTTTAGGATTATTATGATCATCGTTATTGCAGGGTGTGCTTCCTGAGCGATATTAAAATGAGGAGTTGTAGGCTGGGTGCAGTGGCTCGCGCCTGTAATCCCAGCACTTTGGGAGGTCTAGGAGGGAGGATCATTTGAGCTCAGGAGTTCAAGACCAGCCTAAGCAATATAATGAGACATTTACCATTTTTTTTTTTTTTTGAGACAGAGTCTAGCTCTGTCACCCAGTGGTGCGATCTCGGCTCACTGCACCCTCTGCCTCCCGGGTTCAAGCGATTCTCCTGCCTCAGCCTTCCAAGTAGCTGGGATTACGGGTGCCTGCCACCACGCCCAGCTGATTTTCGTATTTTTAGTAGAGACGGAGTTTCACTGTGTTGGCCAGGCTGGTCTCAAACTCCTGACCTCATGATCCATCTGCCTCGGCCTCCCAAAGTGCTGGGATTACAAGCGTGAGCCACCGCACCCGGCCACCAACAATTAAAAAAAAAAAAAATTAACCAGGCATGGTGGTGCAAGCCTGTGGTCCCAGCTACTCAGGAGGCTGAGGAGGGAGGATTGCTTGAGCCCGGGAGGGTGAGGCTGCAGTGAGCTGTCATCACACCACTGCACTCCGGCCTGTGTGACAGAGCAAGACTCTGTCTCAAAAAAATAACAATGAAAAAATAAAGAGCCGTTCAAGTAAAATCTTTCTAAAACCAACTCAGCAACTCAGCTAAGGGTCTTCCCTGTGGTCACATTGTTTGTGCTGTACTTGACTTTGGCAATCGCAGGCAGCTGGGGCTTGACATCCACTACCCCACACTTGCATCTCCAGGCTCAGCCTGGCAGTGCCCACCTGAAAGTCACTCACAGCTTCCAGTGGGAGATGGGAACAAACCAGGAAACATTCACAATGACCAGCCCTTGGCCCATACTGGCCTTAACAGAGCTTCAAGAGACCATGGTGCCCTGAGGAAAATAAGGGTAAGTTTTTAACAGAGCTGACTTTGTTGTTTTAAAGAACACCCTTCACTTTGAGATGGTGCCTTCCCTTCCCTCCTCCTCCTTCCTTCTTATGTCCTTTAAAAAATTAAATTGTGGTGATAGCAGACATTAGGATTTGTTTATTGATTTATTTATTTCATTTATTATTTTCTTTTTTTAAGAGACAGGGTCTCGCTTCATCCTCCAGGTTGGAGTGCAGTGGCATTTTCATAGCTTACTGCAGGCTCCAACTCATAGGCTCAAGTGATCCTCCCGCCTTAGCCTCCCAAGTAGCTGGGACTACAGATGTGCACCGCCATGCACGGCTAATTTCAAATTTTTCTGTAGAGATGAGGTCTTGCTGTGTTGCCCAGGCTGGTCCCAAACTCCTGGCCTCAAATGATCTTCCCTTTTTGGCCTCCCGAAGTGTTGGGATTACAGGTGTGAACCACTGCACCCAGCCCATGTTTTGTTTTTTAATGTCTTTACTTGAGAAAATAAAATTTGACAATCTACATTGGTATTCTGATACGTTTTGTTTTGTTTGGAAATTGTGTGTTTTATGACAGTCTGAGCAGCACTGTTATTGTTGTAGAAGTTTGTATGAGGTCAGTGGGGCACAGGGTGGAAGTGGTCAGTCCTGTTTACTGGGATCAGGGAGGATTTGGAGCAGAAAGTGACATGTGAGCTGAGCCTTGGAAAGCACAGTAATAGGGTGCTCACCGGGGGACCAGAGGGCCATGAAAGCCTTTTGATCAGTGAGGGACATGATAAGCTTTTCATTTTAGGGAGATCACTCTGAAGGGAGGTGACCAGCAGAGGGGAGGTAGCAGGCCTGGAAGCAGAGTCACCTGCCACAGTGAGGCCAGACACACGCATGTGGCGGTGCGGTGCAGAGGCTGGCACGGTTCCGTGGATACTCAGTGAGTAGAACGTACGGGACTTGAGACTGGCTAGGTGTGAGGGGCCACGCAACGATGGAGTCTTGGACGGCTCCCAGTTTTCTGCCTTGGGGAACCTGCAGAGGTGAACGTTGATACTAACATGAATGCAAATAACAATAGTCATGGTGACAGCTGATGTTTACTGAGCCCTTCTTTGTACTGGGCACTTGCTGAGCACCATGCCTATGCAGAAGGCTTATGCAGAGAAAGCAGGTTTCTCAGAGTCAGAATCTAGAGCCCCTCTCTCACCCAGTCACATCTGTATTCTGCCTTCTGGGACACTGACCACATTTTAGGGGAAGATGGCCAGTCCAGGTTTGGACCTGTGGGTCACCCAGGTGGAGATGTGTGGTCTGGAGCTTCAGGGAGGTGGAGGTTGGGATTTGGGGTCATCAGCCTACAGATGATGGTTGATGCTATTGGAGCGGGGAGGTCAGCTAGAAATACTCCCTGGGAAGAAGTGCTCTGCCCAGCAGAGAAGGAGGAGCTGTTCCATCTTTGCAGCCCTGATGCCTGTCATCTTAGCTGTGATTTGGGCCTCTGGTTGTATATTTCCTGCAGATGTGCCTGGAATCATTGAAATGAGAAAAGGGGAGATTTGGGGGGCTGCACAGCCCTTCCTTGTTCTTCTTATTTTTTCTTGAGCTTTTTATGATGGATGATTTCAGATGCATGCCTCAGTAGAAAGAGTAGGATAAGCTGCCTCCATGAGCCCATCCCCCAGCTTCAGCAATTAGCCAGCGCGTGCCTGCCCCTTTCTTAATTGACTCTTCGCATTCCCACTCTCTGCATCCAGGCAGTTTCTATTAATACTGTGGAGCTCCTGCTCTGCCCATTTCTCCTACTGCCTGCTTTAGCCAGACCGGGCTGGTCAGTCCTCAAACTGCCTTGTACCCACCCCCATCTCTCCCTGGCATTCCTACCTCACCTTCTAATTCAGACACTGTGCTGTCCCCCTCTTCTCAACTTGGCCAAAGCCTCCTGGTGCCATGCGGGGTGGGGTCCCCAGGTCTGTTTTGTGTCCTGAGTTTACACCTAAGCCTCCTTGGGCAGGTCACTGTATACCCGCATGCCCTGCTCAGAGCCCGTCAGCACCACTGCATACTGTGTCTGAGGGGCCTGGGGCCACATGCTCCGTAGGACAGAGGTGGCCCCCTCAGCCTGGGATTGAAGGTCATGTGTAATTCAACCTCCATCAGGTCAGGAGAAAACACTGGCCCCTCACCCTGTGTTGAAACTTTAAGATTCCCCTGGTTTCTTGAGAGGTTTTGTTTTGTTTTCTCTGTTCATTTGCTAAACAGGCCTGGTATGTCCATTGCAGGTCCCAGGTTGAGAGGACCCAAGGTGATGGAGTGAGGCCCAGCCACTATGGCAAGGCCCTCAGGGGGCTGCTCTAGTCTCCTGGTGTTCATTGTTCTGCTTGTCTACAGAACCTTCCATTCCAACAAAATGTGCTAGAAGCCCACATATAAAATCTCCAGAAGGGAACCCTTCTGGTTAAATGGTGGTGGGGACTCAGAGCCTTGCCCAGTAGGGTCATGCCATGTCAGTCTTTCTTCAAGAGGCCTCCTGAGGAACTGAGTTTGAAGCCCCTAGGTTGGAGTCCTCACCTTCAAGGCCACCAAAGATCCCACCCAGGAATGAGGCCTTCTCTGCCATTCCCCACAGATACAGCAGCTGGGGGTGCCCGTCTTGTCTCCCGGTCAGCCTGAGCTCAGTGCCAGGCCCAAGAAAGATGGCACAGGCATGGTTCTTGCCTTCAGGTAGGTCTACTTCAGAGGGCTAAGGAGGTAGGGGGCAGGGGAGCCATTTATGTCTATAAGAGGCTTGTTAATAAAAGACAGAGTGAAAACCATATAGAGGACATGTGGTGTACTGTGATGGAACAGGGAAAATTCTGCCCATCTCACGTGGCCTGTAGGTGGGCTTGGAGGCTGGGTTGCTGTGTGATGCCGCCTCCTAGGTAGCCAGGTTCATGCTCGCTGGATGAGCTTTTAGGTCCAAGTGTCTGCCAGCCATGTGGAAGCCCGTTCCAGATGCTTGATCTGCTGTGTGCGCACCCCTGGTTGGGTGCTGCTGTGACAGCTGAAGACGAAAGTCCCACCCCACCCGCCCCAAGTTAGATCTGTCGTACAGACACTGGTTACGCACGTTTGGGGATTTTTTTTTTCTTCTTCTTTCCTATGTGAAGTTTTAGTTTTTCAGTAAACAGTAATTAAAACAAATGTACACAGAGACAACAATGCCGCATTTTAATTTATTTATTTCAGCTGACTGCACCCGCCAGCCTCCTAGCAAAATTCCTTTGTTTTCTTCTTTATGCACGATATTAACAATAGATCTCCCTGTGTAGTTTTGTGTTCACCCTGTTTCTAGAGAGTGTGGAGGATGCAATGGGTGTGGCGTATGAATCTCATACTTTCTACCTGTAGAGTAGGTGATGCACTTCCTGAACTGTGGAAAATGAAGACGCTCCTGTCCTTCCTTTTCAAAAGCCTGCTCCTCCAAGATGTCTCTCTGGCCTCCTCAGTTCTAGTCACTGGCCTCTTCTAAGAAAGAAATTTTTCAGGTGGATGTTGTCATTGAATGAGCCTAGCTTAGGGCACAGCTCCTAGAACTTGCTTATAAGTAGGCTGGGCGCAGTGGCTCACACCTGTAATCCTAGCACTTTGGGAGGCCAAGGCGGGTGGATTGCCTGAGCTCAGGAGTTCAAGACCAGCCTGGGCAACATGGTGAAACCCCATCTCTATTAAAAATACAAAAAATTAGCCGGAGGTGGTGGTGCACACATGTAAATCCCAGCTACTTGGAAGGCTGAGGCAGTAGAGTTGGCTTGAACCCGGGAGGCAGAGGTTACAGTGAGCCGAGATTGCACCACTGCACTCCAGCCTGGGAGACAGAGTGAGACTCTGTCTCCATAAAAATGAAAATAAATAAAATAAAAAGAGCTTACTTATAAGTGAATACTCTCTTCCCTGCTCTTCCCAATCATCTACCCTTCCCCTCCCCAGCATTTTTTCTTATTGCTCTGAGTGCATTGCTGGAAATTTCCTTACCTGTGCCCTCACCCCAGGTGGCTCTGGGGATTCTGGGAAGGCAGTGATGCTTGCTGCCACTTCATCCTTGAGCCCTCCAACCACCAAGATTCATGAGGTTGTGGGTGAGTGCACAGACAGGCTGGCCTCAAGCCCAGCTTCCCTCCTGCTGTCTGTGTGTCCTGGAGTTGGTTATGTAAACTCTTTGAGCTTCTGTTTCCAACTCTGTAAAATGGGGGTTGCTGTGGACATGCAGCTTCATGAGATGATGCTTGTGAAGTGTGCAGGATTTTCCCTGCCACATAGCAAGCTTCAGGAGTTCAGTGCCATTATTATTATTTCTGGCTGCTGTTATTGCCACCCTAGTGGGCACTCAGCCCATGCATGTTGTCCCTGGCATGTTGTCCCTGGCATGTTGTTTGTGATCACAAAGTTCCCAGCATAAGAATAAAATTCTGTATGCTCTGTTGTGCAGGAGAACACACACATTTTTTGCCATCTATTTTAGAGCAACATGTATGGAATCTTGGTGGGGTGGCCTGAATCCTAGGCTGACGGGTGGGGGCCTGCAGATCTCAGATAAGCTGCACCACTTGGGTTCACAATGCAGTGCTTGGCCCAGACAACCCCTGGGATCCCTTGTTGACCTAATATTTCCTAAAATATGAGTATCTGGAGACTGAGCACAGCATAGGGGTGGGCCTTATCAGCTCCTGCTAGGGAAGGCGAGTCAGCCCTGGGGTTTCATGCAAAGCTTCGAGGTAGTCGCCTGGCCTCCCTCAGTGCTTGCCTAAGGCTTGCAGGCTTTGGGGAGGGGAGCTGCCAATTCCCATGCATATTGGGAGTAGGGATGCTGGTGGGAGGTCTTACCTGCTGCCTGCTCTAGCTGTTAAGGGGAGGGGGTCTTGCAGAATCTGTGACTCTGCCCCTCCAAACGCGGAGGCAGCTGGTGAATGGAGGCTGTGTTTTGCAGAATGCAAGCGTAAGGATGGAAACAGAGCCCTGGGCGGCAGGGTCTAAAAGCCTGGTTGTCATGTCAACAGATTGGCCCAAAATAGTGAGAAATAGCAAGGGGCAGGTCCCCATATGGTCCTGTCGTGACCACATCGCCGGCTCCTTCCATGGCAGGGCTGGGCTGGGCCAGGCTGTTATAGGAATAAAATTGGGAGGGGGGCTTTGAGGATATCCCCCTACCATTTCCTCAGGAGGGACCAGAGAGGGCAGGTGTGGTCCTGGTCCTTCTTAGCTATATAAATGTGAAGCCCGAGAAGGGAACCCATAAGCCAGAGCCCCCACCCCCAAGGCTGTGCTGTGACTGCCTTTATTTCCCCCATTGGGAAAATTCAGCAAACAGGTAGGAGCACTCAGTGTGTGCAGGTGCAGGGGTCCTGAGGCAGTACATGGAACAGCTAACATCTCCCAAGTGTTCACCGGTGCCAGCACTCTTTCCAGCCCTTTGAATGAATGAATTCATCTGACCTTCACCATAACAGCATAATGTAAACACTATTATCATCCTCGTTTATGGGGGAGGAAACTGAAGCTAAAAGTTTGCCCAAGGTCCTTCAGCTAGTAAGTGGGATACTTGAAGTCAGACACCTGGCTCAAGCCAGACCCTTGACCATTAAGCTACAGAGATGTAGGAGACAGGGTCTCCATGGGCCTTCCCCAACAGAGGGTGCTGGCTCAGCCCATGGAAGGGGCATCTCACCTGGCAAAGACTTCCAGAAGAAAGCAAGATGCATGGACTTGGCCAGGCAAAGGGGATGGGACACAGGTGTCATGGCAGAAGCCATATACCCTCTTAAGGGTTTGGGGACCTGTGGCTGGGGAAAGAGGACTTATGGCTGTGGGAGGAGACCCAGATTGGCTCATCTCCATTGCTGTGTACTCTGGGCAACCTCCTTCTCTCACGCAACTCATTTCCTTATAAATACAACCTCCAGCCTCCTGTCTATCCAGGAATTGGCCCTCTAGATATGGGGCCATTTTGTGCTTTTGTATATCATTATTTAGTTTCATTTTGATTTCTCTTTAGTTTTTTTGTTTTTGTTTTTTTGTAAAGTATCATTTGGAAAATGCTTTCCTGACCTGGCAGAGAACAAAAGCATGGATTCTCTCTCCCTACCAAGCTCAAAGAATAGGGAGGAATGGGCTGGCCATGTGGCTGACTTCTCCTTAAGCATCAAGACTCAGCACAAGTACCAAGCACCCCGCCCCTGCAGGAAGGCTTCCCTGATTCCTGGCACTACATCTGGTGGCCGGCTCTAGGCCCCACACTCTCTGCTGCCCCTTTCATCATATGCTCTCCCATCTGCTGCAGTCTAAAAGTTTCCTTTCCCCCAAGAGTCATATGTTGAAATCCTAGCCCCCAAACTGATGGTATTAGGAGGTAGGGCCTTTGGGAAGGGGGGTGATTAGGTCACGAGGGTGGAGCCCTCATGAATGGATTCTGCCTTATAAAAGAGGTACAAGGGAGCTTGTTCTCCCCTCCCACCATGTGAGGACCCAGCCAGAAGGCGCTGTCCATAAACCAGGAAACCAGCCTTCACTAGACACCAAATCTGCTGGCGCCTTGATCTCAAACTTTCTGGCCTCCAGAACGGTGGGAAATAAGTTTCTGTTGTTTCTAATCTGTCCAGTTTGTGGTATTTTGTGATAGAAGCCCAAGCAGACTAAGACACCATTCTCTGCGGTGACTGTGCCCTCTCTCATCCCCGCTGGCACGTGAGCTCCCTGAGAACCGGGCTCTGACCTGTTTCCTCCTGTTTGCCAAGTGCCTGGCAGATCTCAGCCTGAAAGAGATCCTCAGTAAACGCCTAGCACATCAAACTGAATAAATTCAGCATTCATGGTTAGCAAAGGGCTCGAGCTTCTGCCCCATGCAGCTCCCTCGAGTGCCATGGTTAGGGCTTCCCAGCATTACTTCCCTGTTATACAAAGGGAGGACCAGGCTTGTGAGCTCCCCTATCAGATGTGGACTTTGACTTTCACCTCTGGGGATGGGCTGCCCTGTGCAGGTCTGCACCTCCCTCTGGCCTTCCAAAGGCTGCTGCTCTTCAGATTTTGCCAGCCATCTTGTTGAGGGGTCCTGCCGAGGGGCTTCCCCAGAGGCGGTTATGCTCCTAAATGCACTGGTCCCAAACTGCTGCCTCAATGAGCCATAGGAACCTTCCCTGGGCCCCACCCCTCCAGCAAATTCCTCTCCCAGAGCCCCTCCCTTCCCCTCCCCTCCCAGCACTTGGTGGCATCTGTTTGCTGGTCTGTCCGTCTAGCAAGGTTCCAAGCTGAAACCCCTTTGCCCCCTTTCCTAGGCAGGGAGAGGCCTCACATTCTTCCGTGAATCCAGGGGCAGCACCAGGCGTCACCCCCTGCGCAGGCAGTGTCGTGATGGGCTTGGGGACCCCTTAGCAGGCTCTCAGCCACGGGGTGGGAGGCGGGCCAGAAATGAGTCCTGGGGCTAGACACTGGGAAGGTGCATTAGGGCTTCAGATGTAGAGGAGCTGGGACCTGGGAGCAGGATGTTGAGATGGGAACACAGCTGTGCCCAAGGCTGCTTGTGCAGCCTGGACCCCAGAACCCCCTTACAACCTCCAAGTGTGGGCGACACTGTGCCTGTGGGATCAGACCTGAGATGTTGGGGTGTTGGGGAAATCGCCTCTGGGATGGGCCTCTGAAAACAGGTGCCTGCAGCAGCTTGTGATGCAGAGAGGCGGAAGGACTTATGCCAGGCTTGGAGAATTGGAGCCCTTGAGTAGAGTCCCTCATCACAGTGATGTGTGACAGTAGCCCAGCTCTCATCTGTCAGGTGGGGGAGTGACCACCATGTCCCCAGCTGGAGGACAAGCGAGGCACATAATTAACTCCAGCTGAGTCGCTGCAGAGGGAGCATGGGCACCTGAGGAATGAGTGTGGCCACGGTGACGGGGTGAGGACCCACCCTACAGCCCCCCTTCATCTGTGAGCAGGCGGCCAGTGGGTGTTTGCACATGGGGGAGCTGTCGGGATAGCTCTGGCCCGTGTGCTAGGAAGGACTGTCAGATTCGGGGACATGGCTCCCAAGGGAAAGTCGGTAGCGTGGGCAGCTGGCCAGTGCCTCACCAGCCTTGTGCCCAGTGCTGGACTCAGCAGTGTCCCCTGGACCCAGCACCCCCTCCTGGCTTCTCTACCTCAGGGGGTCCTGGTGGCCCAGACTCACACAGCCCCTGAAGGAAACTAGGACTCCCCTCTCTCCTAGAGGCTACTCTTCCTCTTGTTCTGATCTGACCCCTTCCCCCTGCTCCTGCCATTGTCCCTGGACCACTGCACTGGTCTCTCACCCCTCCCCACGCCCTGCCCTTCCTCACTTGAATAACGACCTTCAAGTGGCTGCCAGGGTCGTCGTCCCTGTCCTCAGCTCTGGCGATGTCATGATCAGGTCGAAGCACTCTTGAGAAGCCCCAGGGTTTAATGGGTGCAGAGCTTTTCTGTTTGGGATAATGAAAACATTCCGGAAATAGACAGTGGTGATGGTTACACAACATGGTGAGTGCACTTAATGCCACTGAGTTGTACACTTAAAAATAATTAGAATGGCCAGGCATGGTGGCTCACGCCTGTAATCCCAGAGCTTTAGGAGACCTAGGTGGGAGGCTCGCTTGAGGCCAAGGAGGTCAAAGCTGCAGTGAGCCGTGATTGTACCACTGCACTCCAGCCTGGGCAACAGAGTGAGACCCTGTCTTCAAAAAAGAAAAAATAAATAACTAAAATAAAGTGGTAAAACAAAACAAAGGGAAACTCCCTATGGACTGAAAAATAAGGGGCAACCTCCTTAAGCTGGCACTGGCTGGCTCAGGGCCTACCAGAGGCTGCCCCAACCTCCTTTTCCAGTCTCACCCCTCGCATCTACCATTCACCCTTTTAGTGCTCCAACCTGGAGAGTTACTGGACTTGCTGTTCTAAGACATATCCTCACTTTCCCTGGCTCTTTGCCTTCCCTTATGGATTCTCAGGATTAGAATCTATTCCTTCACTTGGTGAAATAATCATTTCTACAACACTCTCCTGATGACTTATTACTGCTTTCCAAGGCCTTTTACACTATCTCTGGCCAGCTCTAAAGAGATGGCCTTATTTCTAAGAGCATAAGGTTTGGAGTATGATAGCCTGGGTTTGAGTGCAGGCTTCATGGCTTACCAGTCATGTAATCTTGAACTTGTCAGTTAAGCTCCCTGAACCTGTCTTTCCTCCTCTGTTAAATGAATGCTAATAACAGTATCTACCCCATGGAGTCACTGCAAATATTAAATATAAATAGTAAGTGGGCTAATGCGTAAAAAGAATTTAGCTTATTTCCTAGCACATAGGTCAGTATTAAATAAATGTTAGCTGGATATGTATAAATTGAACCAAAATCTGGCCTTGAGTGCAGACAAAAACACACACTGGTAGGCTGGAAGGGATCTGAGAGATCATCTGTGGCAGTCATAGTAGGCTCCCAGGTATCTGGTTCTCTCCTCACTTAGTAAGTTGCACTTTGTGTCCCTTATACTTGGGTGGGGCCATGCCTGTCTCATGGGCCATGTCCAGTCAATGAGGTCAATTTAATTGCTGGCTGAGCCTCTCCAGAGTTTTCATTTTCCTTCCCCATTAGCAACTGGCTGCATTCAAGATGGCGGTTGTTCCATTAGCTTGGGCTCCTAGGTGTCTGGGATGTGTCAAGTGCCCCCCTTGCTTGAGAGAGGAATCAACTTTTCCTGGGGTGACCCATTGACATTTAGGGTTTGTTTATTGCCAAAGTATAGCCTGCTTTGCTTTGCAAACTCTGCTGAATGACAAATCTGCTAACTCAACATTTTTGTTTTTTAAGTGAAGCATAGATGAGGTGGGGGTCACAGAGTGAGGCAGTGGCAGGTCTGGAGCTCATATCCTATGCCTGACATAGCTGGTTTATTCTTTCTTCGATCTCTTTCCTCATCAGTCTCTCCCATCATTGACCTCCCATGAAGGAGACTACTGAGATGGACTCATTTGAACGAGTCTTGTTGATATCATGAATTGGTCAAACCCACGCCTCACAGGCCTTTAGCTAATGAATTCCCCAGTGGACACATGTCTCTCCTAGGGGTGCTAGGCCAAGTTGCTTGCCAAGCCATCCACCAGCACTTCACGCCTGGACCAATGCACCCACCTCTCCCTAGCCTCCTTCCTCCCCATTGGGTCTTCCTCCTCTGCCCCAGCTGCCAGAGGCATCTGTGTAAAGCAAGTGCCTCTTCCCTCTCGGCACTCCCCTGGTGAAAGTGCTGCAGTGACTTCTTACTGCCTGAAGGAAAGAAAACCACACCTACCTGTGTTCAGTGTTCCCGACGCACTGGCTCAAGCCAGTCCGAACCCACCCATCCCTTCTCCATCCTGTGCTCCTGCTAGTGAACACGATGGACCTCTTCTCCAAGGTGCCCCGCAACTTCCTATTTCCAAGCCTTCACTCTTGCTGGTAACTCAGCCTGGTGTGCCCTCCCACCACCTCAGTCTCTTGTTCCTCTCGCAAGGCTCAGCTCAAATGCCGCCTCCTCCAAGAAGTCTTGGCAGAATATCTCAGTGCAATTTGAATATTCCTTCCTTTTTTGCGTGACTTTTGTCTCTGCCATTGCTCCCACTTCTATCCTGCCCTGTGTTATGGCTTTTTGTTTGAATCTTCTCTTCCCTCCTGAATGGAAAGCTCCCTGATGGCCAAGACTGTATGTCACTTTTTATGCGTCTTCAGCATCTACCATGAGACCTGGTTCTTCATCACCCAGGGTGCGTTTATGGGATGAATGAATATTCTCTAACTCCAGGTCCAACCCTCCATTACACCATTTACTACATGTTGCTAAATTATTTCCATGTCTCTCACCCACTCCACATTATAAATCCCATGAGAGCAAGGACCCAGTCTTACCCATCTCATCTTCCCCTACCTAGCTCAGGCGCCCAGCCAATGTTGAACCAATGTGCCCCACAAATGTGGAATGGAAAGGAGTGGCGATGGCTTGGTGGCACACGTAGTTGGAGTTTGGTATCTCTTAAGAGGGCGATCCAGCCCCCACCCCCGGAGAAGGGCTGCCAACATGTGATATTTGCACAAACCTGCAGAAAAGAGCACCCCTCTCCTGATCGGCAGCCCGAGTACACTTTGTGTTTGTGACCCTGACTTTTAAAAATGTCACACCTGCATATGTGGGGAGGCTTACTGACAGCTAATTAGGAAACGCAGTTTGTATCTCCCAGTCTTTGAGAAACATTTTGTAAATTGGGTAATTGGCTTTAATAGTGCAGAGGAGAGATGTGTGCTATGGCTCCATCATCTTCAAATAACACAGTCTGCAGCCGGCCAAGAATTCAGAGTGACAGCTTCAGGGAGAATACAGAAATGCCAGTTTTTCTCAGTATTCAGGATGGACAGCCTGGCTCTCTGGAGACTTTTAGAAGCAGATGGTCTGTCCATCACCCCGGGGAAGGGGTGTGAAAAACTCAAGATGGCTGGAGTTAATAAGCTGTTTGGGACAGAGCTATGGATATGACTACTTTTATTTCAGGCTCTACCCACCAGCAGTGATTGTATCTGCCAGGCAGCAGTAATTTAGTCCAGCTAGGATGTATTAAACACCTGTTTGGGGCCAAACTCTTTGATAGGCAAAGGGGGACAGAGGCGAATAAGATAACCTAGTTCAGCAGGGCATGATGGCTCATGCCTGTTATCCTAGCACTTTGGAAGGCCAAGGTGGGAGGATTGCTTGATACTGGGAGTTCAAGTCCAGGAGTTCAAGACCAGTTTAGGCAACACAGTGAGACATGTCTCTACAAAAAATTAAAAAATTAGTGTGGTGGTGGTGGTGTGCACCTGTGGTCCCAGGTACTCAGGAGGCTGAGGTGGGAGGATCACTTGAGCCCAGGAGGTTGAGGCTGCTGTGAGCCATGATGGCACCACTGCACTCCAGCTTCAGTGACAGAGGGAGATCCTGTCTTTAAAAAAAAAAAAAAAAAAAAGACAGCCAAACTCAGCATACCTTAGTTATATCTGGCTGTATCCCTGAAATTCTGGTTTGACGTAAGTGTCTTGAATGATAGGAGAACACTTTTTAAAATGTAAGGCATATATACTTTGTACCCTTTCCCATAATCTTTTCTTGTCTCTCTCAACTGTCTTTACCCTTCTTTAATAGTTCCCCAGGTGTGCTGATTCTTTATGTTTCAAAATGCTTACAGCAGGCGTTTAAGGATGTTTGTTAGATGATGCGGCCTCTCTGTAGTGACTACACCTCTATAGCCCAGAAGTTTCATGCATGAAAGTTATTTCTTGCTTATGTCATTGTCAAGTGCAGCTTGAAGGGGTGTGTTGGTTGGTGTTCTGGGAAGCAGATGCTCAGAGTTAGAGGGGCCCTGGGGAAATTCCTTTGAAAGGATATGAAGAGAGATGGGCAGGGTGAGCCTTCAGACTGTGCGGTGGGTCTGACATCAGTAAAGGGTGTGGGGAAGGAAAGAGGCTCGGGTAGGAACAGTCCCTGGCAGCAGCACTGCTCTAAGAAAGTTCCAGCTGGACCAGTGGGCTCAGAGATCACCTGTAGTCAGGTCTTACACTGGCCAGAAGTGAGGAGCCCTTGTTCCTCTGCCATGCTCAGTCCATGGTTGGTGGGGTCTGGGAAGAGGGTGACCTCCTCTGAGGCATACCCAAAGACGCCACACCTGGAGGCTGTCAGCTCGTGAGACTGCCCTCCTTGGGATGGTTTCTCTCGTGACATAGTGGTGTCCCCTTCCAGGCTTGCCATAGGGATTTGGGATCTGGGGGGTTTCTTCCTGTTTCAGGTCCTTGCATTTTTTCCCCACTCACACTGTGGATGGAAAAGAGCACAGAATACCCATGGAATGGTTTTACAGGCCAACCTGGGCATGGCACACATCGTCTTTGTTCATATTCCATTGCCCAAAACTCGGTGGTCACACCTAATTGTCGGGGGGAGGGGCTGGGAAATGTAGTCTTACCCTGTGCCCGAAAAGAACAGAACATGGATATGATGGAGCATGGACTCTGGAACCTGACTCCATGGGTTTGACTCCCAACTCTGCCCCTCACTCACTGTGTGCAACTTGGGGCAAATTACTCACCTCTCTGATCCTCAGTTTTTTCATCTATTAAAATGTGGATAATAATGGGACATGGTTCATAGGGTTGTTGGGAGGATTAAGTGAGTTAGTGTATATACAGCAATTAGAATAGTGCCTGGCACAGGCAAATGCTATGTAAGGGCTCACTGTGTTATTATTATTACTATTCTTGTTTCTAAATTTAACACTTCAGTAAATGTTTCTTGGGTACCTGTTCTGTTCAAAGAATTTTTAGAGGTCACATGAACTTACTGTTTCCTGGACAGCTCCTAGTACTTAGTAGGTGACTGAAAATGTTTCAATGAATTAGTTGCAATGACAAAACAATATAGTGTATATTTAATTCAGTTGGATATGGTGCTGGGCTAATTTTGAACATGATTTAGCAATGATAAATGTTAAAGTCTGTTCTTAGGTTCAGAAAATCACCCACAGATGAACAGAAAGAGGGAAACTTCAGTGATTGAGAAAGCACCCTGGGTGTGGAAAGCTTACCAGTTTAAAAATGACTTTCTGTCTTTATAAAAGTAATCTGTATTTTTTTTATTTAAGTAAAAGAAGCAAGTAACAAAAAACCACTGAAATCTCATAACCTTTAACATTCGATGATTCTCATTCCAGACATCTCTCTATGCATATATTATAAAGAAATAATTTTATAAAATGAGATCATTATTACATCCTACTTTAGATCGTTGTTGAATTTTATTTATTTGCATATAACAGAAGAAAATGAGGAAAAGTAAAATAGAAGGAATTGCTCACCATTAAACAATTTTGCCTTTGCTACAGAAAATATTTGTTTCCAAAATGTCTCTCCAAGGGTAATAAAAGATTATGAAAAGCAGTGAGGTTAAAATCCTGGCTTTTAAACTACAGTTTTCAATTTTAGATGGTATTGATTAAAGCCCTTCTATGGAAGAAGAGGAAATTAACAATCTTACAACTTCTCTTCCCTCTTCTGCCTCCTGCATTTTATGTTCCATTATTATCTTCACATTGCCAGTTGTTTCATGTTAAATGGGTCTGGCTCTCACTATCACTCCTTTTTTACCACAAGTCCTCCTCCATTCCTGAGATTTATATTTTTGATTCATCTTTTGGTTGGCTGGATTTTATCCAGTAGGTTTTTTCTCCCCTGGGCACCAAGGAAGGATTGTCGGTGTTTTGCTACCCAAGATAATAGGTGCTGATTTAGTAGTTTTTACTGACAGCAAGCTCTGTATGATGTAGGAGCCCAATAGAAGGTGTGCAGACTGAAGCCGCATTAACAGAAGTCAATACTCAGAATGCGGGAGGTGATTGTTTCATTCAGCTTGGCATTGTGGCTGGGAGTGCTCTGAACAAATCAATAAGGAAAAGACAACCCAGTAGAAAAATGGGCAAAGTTACCAGTCCAAAAGAGGAAACACAGGCTATAAGCATATGAAAAGATGGCTTAACCTCTTTAGTAATCAGGAACATACAAATTGAAATGTGATATCAAATACCCACAAGACTGGCAAAAATTAAAGCTGGCAAGGATATGGAGCAGTGAGATCTCTAAAACACTGCTGTTGGGAGTGTAAATGGATCAAACCACTTAGAGAACATGCAGCAAACGCTATGATTCAACAATTCAATTTCCAGGTTTATACCCTAGAGAAACTCTTCATATGTGTGCAAGGAGGCGCGTATGCAAATATTCGACCATCTTGCTTACAGCAGCAACCAAACACAATGCTGGAAACAGCCCAAGGGTCCACTGGCAGAGGAATGAACAAACAAACGGTGGCATATTCACACAATGGCATATTACACAGCTATGAAAATGAATGAACCACAGCTATATTCAGCGGCAAAAATCTCACAAACATAATGTGGAGCCATAAGGGCAAGTTTCAGGTGAAATGTATAACACAATTCCACTTATATGTATGTTCGGAAATGAGTAAAATTAAATGATACAGTGTTTAAGAAACATGTACATATAAAACTGTAAAGAAAAGCAAAGAAGGGGCTGGCACGGTGGCTCACTTCTATAATCCCAGCACTTTGGGAGGCCAAGGCGGGTGGATCACTTGAGGTCAGGAGTTCAAGACCAGCCTGGTCAACATGGCAGAACCTCGTCTCTACTAAAAATACGAAAGTTAGCTGGGCACAGTGGCATGTGCCTGTGATCCCATCTACTCAAGAGGTTGAGGTAGGAGAATCACTTGAACCTGGGAGGCAGAAGTTGCAGTGAGCCAAGATCATGCCATTGCACTCCAACCTAGGTGACAGACTGAGAGTCTGTCTAAAAAAACAAACAAACAAAAAAAAAAAAAAAAAAGAAAGAAAAGAGAAGAAAAGAAGGATAAATGCAAAATTCAGGCCTGGGGCTCCCCCTGGGTAAAGGAGGGCTATGTGCAGGTGTGGGCGCAGAGGTCTTCAACATAGCTGTGATGCTGGATATACTGTCTGTTCGCATTACTATTTTTCATACTTAAGTTATTGTATATGGAATATTTTCTGTGAGTGAAATATTTCACAGCACATTCTTATTTAAAATGAAACCGTGCTCTGAAGTTAGACTACCTGAAATTGGGCAAGTTATTATTTCTGAGCCTCAAATTCCTTATCTGTAAAAGGGAAATAACAGTACAGGTTGAGTACCCCTTATCCAAAATACTTGGGTCTAGAAATGTTTCAGATTTTGGGGTTTTTCAGATTTTGAAATAGCTGCATTATATTTAAAGACTGAACATCCCAAATCCAAATATTCAAAATCCAAAATGCTCCAGTGAACATTTTTATTGAGTGTCATATTTGTGCTCAAAAAGTTTTGGATTTTGGAGCATTTTGGATTTCAGATTTTTGAATTAGGGATACTCAGCCTATACCTTTTAATAATATTGAGAGGCATGAATAAGATCCTTGACATCAAGTTCTTAGTACTGTGCCTAACACATATATATTTTTTTAATTTTATTATTATTATACTTTAAGTTTTAGGGTACATGTGCACAACGTGCAGGTTTGTTACATATGTATACGTGTGCCATGTTGGTGTGCTGCACCCATTAACTCATCATTTAGCATTAGGTATATCTCCTAATGCTATCCCTCCCCACTCCCCCCACCCTACGCCAGTCCCCGGTGTGTGATGTTCCCCTTCCTGTGTCCATGTGTTCTCATTGTTCAATTCCCACCTATGAGTGAGAACATGTGGTGTTTGGTTTTTTGTCCTTGCGATAGTTTGCTGAGAATGATGGTTTCCAGCTTCATCCATGTCCCTACAAAGGACATGAACTCATCATTTTTTATGGCTGCATAGTATTCCATGGTGTATATGTGCCACATTTTCTTAATCCAGTCTATCGTTGTTGGACATTTAGGTTGGTTCCAAGTCTTTGCTAATTGTGAATAGTGCTGAGGGCACAGTATACGTTAGCTAGTGTCGCTTTTCTGGGCAGGGTAGATGGAGGTATTTGGGGGACCATTCTAGGTG
Source organism: Homo sapiens (assembly GCF_000001405.40). Lineage (NCBI taxonomy): Eukaryota > Metazoa > Chordata > Mammalia > Primates > Hominidae > Homo > Homo sapiens. The sequence goes on along the minus strand of NC_000009.12, from coordinate 98,585,126 downwards.
CTACATGCCCAAAAAATCTGTCCTCCAAAGGCTGTTTGTGAAATGACTCGTAGATAAGCAGGCTGTAAAACTATCCTGTATGGGGATGATTGGAAGTGCTAAGGGTAGTTTAGCCTGAAGACATCTCTCGGAGTCACTCTGCGGAGCTTAGCTATCTGATTTCCAGGCCAATGATAGGAAGAATTTTCTAAGAAGCAGAGCTGGCCGAGGACAAATTAGCTCCCTAGTGAGAGAGTGAGACCCCTGGCACTGGACGGACAGACGTGAGCAGATACTGAGTGCTCCTGCGTGGGAGACCCAGAGGGGACTTTCTAACGGGGGCAGGTTGGACACATTAGCTTTTAAATTCTCTTTCCATTCTGAAATTCTGCATGGAGTAATTCCCAGTTTCAGATGGGTTGTTATTAACTCTGACATTTTCTTGGCATTTTTACATTTTAACTCTCAGCAACATTTTCTTTGAAATTTTTAAATCAAAAAAGTATTTTAATTCTTTAAAAATGAGATTTAAATGAAAATGGATTTCATCTGGAGCCTCACTTTTTCATTTGAAAATTGATTTTCATGGCTTTTGGATCTGTTCCCATGTTTAAGTGCTGAATTTTAAGAGCCTATATGTGCCAATGGTGATTTCTCTGTGACAAGTCCTTATAGGGAAGGAGAAGCCCTTGGCAGTGGAACAGCAGACAGGAGATGTGAGGTGGTGACCATGAGCTACAGTAGAGGAGGAGTCAAAGGAAGGTAATAACAAATACCAGAGAGAAGAGGGAGGGAGGGAAGGCAGCATTTATTGAGCACCTACTATGTGCTAGAGCCAATCTCCAGGTGGCAAGACTGAAGACAGAGGCTAGGCCAGTCATGAAGCTTTGAGTTATTGCATGACAGTTTGAACTGTGATTAATTACTTCCTGCCTGCTGGTCAAGTTGTGGCCATGCCAACCAGTCAGAATATCCTCTAGAAGTGAGTGGGGTTTCCGGTGGGGGAGGTGTGGTGGGGGGAAAGGAGAGCATGATAAAGCCCATAGCTTTCTTCCAGGACACAGACCCCCACTTAGAGTGGCTCTGAGAGCAATTCATCAAAAACCAAATCACAGAAAGACAACTTGCTGTAAATAACTTCTCAGAATGATGGTTTTGCCCAGTGAACATCTCACTAAAAGCTGTCAGACAGACAACTTAAATGGGGTATTGAAAAGCTTCTGGCATGTTCCTGGCTCAGGCCAGGGCTGGTCCACAGGAAAAGAAGGGTAATCAACAGCCCTTTAGGGGGACATCTTCACGTGCAGCATTTGAGAAGGGAAAATGTGAAATACGCATAACATTGACTTTCACCTGAGCTGGAAGGACAGATCCTGTGAAATGGCTGTGGCAATGTGTCTGCAAGGAGTCCTTCAGGAAACTAAAACCTAGAGAAGTTCCCCAGTGATTTGGTGACTTGATCATCAGGTACATTCATGCACAGTGGATTAACTTGGAGTGAGTAGCCTATAGCGTATATGCCAAAACGCCTTGCTTATGAGACATTCACCCACCCTTCCTGAGGCCAGAGACAAACACTATACTCTGTAAGGACCTCCAGGGTCATATTGGTGGTTTTCAAACATTTTTGCTGCTAGCAATGAAGCCTGCTTTAAAATTAAGTGTTCTGTGGAGCTCTGATGCTGCAGCTGAGGCAGTTGGGAGAGGAGCTGCTGGTTGAAGTGAAGGTGAGGAGCTCAGTGCTTCTTTCACTGCCCTATCTGCTGGGCTTTACGCCCCTGAGGGGCTGACTGTAAAAAACTCTAAGCTGATCCAGCCCCCAAAATTCACCTTTGGTGAGCTGGAAAGTCCATCTATTTGGGACGCGAATCATGTCAGGTAAGAAGACACAGCATTAGAAATTAGGATAAGGGAAAATAGCATCGAAAATGGGACAGATATATCCATGTGATTTATTTTGTTATTCACTGCAAAGTTGCTCCCTTTAGGGGAGCCAGGGAAGCATGCTTGGTGCCCAGTACGTTGTTTCTCTTGCTTTTAGCCAAGAGCTCTGATCTGGAGGAGACCTGGGCTTGCGGCATTATCCTGGGGGAAATGGTCTTTTTTTCTAGAATGCTGTTAGCTTTAACCTTCTCTTCGGTTGAGTCTCTAGACTATTGGAATGCTGAGAGACTGGGAATCCAGAAATCCCTCTCCTAATCCTGGCAAGACAGTGGACAAATCCCTTCTCTCTAGTCCTCAGTCTCTGCATCTGAAAATGAGAGTGTGGGGCTAGATTAGCAATGCCTAGATGTTGGGATTTCACACACCAAGAAGGGGAGGGCCGTGGAACAGAAACTTACATAGTGTGAAAATTTTTTCTATTTTATCATGTCAGGACATTAAAAACAAGACCTCTCTCATTTCTATCCTTTTGTAACAGAAAAATATTTCAACACCATTCAACTACAAAGGACCTTGTCTGTAAATTAAGGATCATTTTTCAAATGGAATTAACTTTAAGGAAAACCATACTGTGTCATTCTTATTTTTCACATTTTACCTGAGTGTATTTGCTTTCTATGCTGCTGTAACTGATCACCACAAATTTGGTGATGTAAACCACACCTATTTATTGTCTGACAGTTCTATGCCAGAAGTCTGGACACAGTGTGGCTCCCCTGGGTCCCTTGCTCAGGGCTTCATATGACCAAAATCAAAGTGTCATCTGGGCTGGGTTCGTATCTGGAGGCTCAACTGGGGAAGATTTGCTTCCAGGCTCATTCTGGTTATTGGCAGAGTTCAGTTTCTTGCAATTGTAGAACAGAGGTCCCTGCTTTCTTGACACGTGGACCTCTTCATCTTCAAACCAACAATGGCATATCAAATCCATCTCATGCTTCCAATCTCTGATCTCCCCTCTGCTATTAGGTAAAGAAAGATCTGCTTTTAAGGACTTATGTGACTACACTGGGCTTACCTGTATCATAATTTAAGGTCAACTGATTAGTAACCTTCATGACATCTACAAAGTCCCTTTTGCCATGTAACATAAAATATTCATGGAGGTAATTCCAAGGGGTGAAGGTCAATGGGGCCAAAACTTTGCCCGCCACACCCACTCTGGTGAAAATTCAGTCAGATAAATATTTGGGAACGTTGTAAGATTCTCCAGCTCCAATACTGGTTGTCAAATAGTCTCAGATATTTTAGTTGACATATCCCAGTGTTTTGTATTTGTGAGAAGCCGTGACATCATTACTAATACAGAATCTTGCATGGGCTGGATATTCAGAAAGTGTTTGCTAAGCAAGCATGTATTAATAAATTCATTGTTGCTAATATTATTTAATGCAACTTTGATTATAAATCCTGTGGTACTGTAGTATCGTTGTCATTAGCTACAGATTAGAAAAAAAGCCAAAGTCATTACAGAAATGTATTAAAACTATAAATGATTCAGTAAATCATGGTAGATTCCAAAAAAAAAAATCATGGTAGAAACAATTAAAACATGAACTACTCTGTTATTATCTGCTCGTGCTCTGTTGGGGGTGAGAAGTGTTGCTTTCAATCAAGGAACAGGGATAATTAATAGAGGGCCCCAGAAGCAGTAAGAACTTAATCTTTCCTCCCTCCCTCCCTGTCTCCCTCCCTCCCTCCCTCCCTCTCTTCCTTCCTTTCCTCCTTCCTTTCTCTCTTTCTTTCTTGGGGAAATAAATTAACTTGGCCAGTTTTTAAATTAAATTAAAAATTTTAAATTGAATTATTTACCGAAAATCTGTAGTATTCAAACTCCCTACCCTGATGTTGAGAGCTCTAAGCCTTCTCCCTGGCCACCTCATCCTTGTCACTCACTGTTGAAGCAAGCTGGGTTGTTTCTGTTCCCGTCTCACTTTTCCACCTCCTTGCCTGTATTCGTGCTGCTTTTCCGCCTACGATTCCCGTCTCAAGTGTTCCCTCTTCCAGAGCCCTCCCTGGCTTTCCCTGCAGTGCCCACAGCCTGGATCTGCCTCTGTCCCACAGCACCAGCCACCATCCCCCACGGGAGGTGACTGCGTGCCCCGGCCTCACTGCCTCCACCATCGGTGAGCTCCCCGAGGCCCAGGAACCATGTCGGACTGAGTCCTCTGTCCCTGTTGGCACAGACATGGGTCACAGATCAGAGGAGTTTCTCAAATAAATGAAGAGGGAGCAAGAAATCCTAGTTCACTCTGCTCCCATATAGCGGTCACTTAAGGGGAAGGTGGAGAACAAGCAGAAAAAAATGAGGAGGACACAGAATGGAGAGAAAGACAAAAATAAGGAGAGAACGTGGAAGTGTAGAGCAAGGAGGAGGAGAGCAGATGAAGGGAGAGTGTCCAACAGATTTGTTTGTTTTGTTTTGAGATGGAGCCTTGCTCTGTCAAGCTGGAGTGCAGGGCGCGATCTCGGCTCACTGCAACCTCCGCCTCCCAGGTTCAAGCGATTCTCCTGCCTCAGCCTTCTGAGTAGCCGGGTTTACAGGTGCATGCCACCATGCCTGGCTAATTTTTGTATTTTTAATAGAGACGGGGTTTCGCCATGTTGTCCAGGCTGTTCTCAAACTCCTGACCTCAACTGATCTGCCTGCCTCAGCCTCCCAAAGTGCTAGGATTACGGGCGTGAGCCTTCGCGCCTGGCCCCAACAGATCTTACTGAATCTTTACTGAGGCCCCTCTCCAAGCTCTGGGGAGACAGCAGTGAAAACGATGACAAAATCCTTGCCCACCTGGGGCTTTCATTCTAGTTAGGAAATCAGTCAATCTACAAGTGAACAAAAAGTAGACAAGATGATTTCAGATAATTTTAGGAACTATGTTAGGGCATTAAATAGGGTGGCATGTCAGGGAGGGAATGGGGGTGGGAAATATTTTGGGGAGGGTGACCTGATTGATGGGAAGGAGTGAGCCATGCTGAGAACCAAGGAAATTGTGTTCCCAGCAGAGAAAACAGCAAGTGCAAAGGCCCAGAGGTGGGAAGGAAAATGCTTTTGATTTCAGGGAACTGGAAGGAGGTTGGTAGGGCTTCACTTGGTGAGCAAAGGGAAGAGAAAAGGGAACTCAGGCCAGATTGGGAGTCAGCAGCTGGACTGAGTGGCTTCCATTGTGATAAGGAGTCTTAAGAAAATGACCCCAAACCTGTACATAGTACAAAGATGTGATTCTGTGACCCTTTACCCTCATACTTAGAGCATTTTCCAACAGTCCTGCCTAAGGGTCATCTGACTGCGGGAATAGAACTTTGCTCAATCAATTAAGACCTAAACATTTTGCAATCCTCTAAAACAGATAAGATATGCTGATTTTCAGTGATTTTCTTTCTATCCCCAAAGGTTGTGGTTTTATTGCCCTGTAGGACATTAACCAGTTTTGTATCTAATTTGGCACTCTTATCTTATTCCTTTTTTCAGTCCCGGTTCCTTAAATTCTCTTTTGAATCCACTTTGCCATCCTGCAGATCTCCTTATTAATGAGTTAAATAAAACTTTGACATGTGTTCACTATCGATTTTCATGAGAATTATGTTTTTAACCTTTTGAGAGTTATATTGTGATAGGAGTTTGGGTTTTAAGTGCATGGAAAGCAGGAAGAGTGAGAAGAATTCATTGATGTTTGACAAAGGACCCTCAGACAGCTAGATGGTGGAGGGGTTGAACTTGCCCATGGGGAGGTAAGACACCCAGTAGAAGCCAAAGCCACTGTCCAGGGGAGAGATGACCACAGGGTTTGACTGAGGGAGGTGGGGATGGAAAGGCGCTGAGTGAGCCAGAACTGAATCCTGATACTCGTCGTGGGCCCCTGGCCTCTTTCCATTCCTATGCTGGGTCGCCGTGAACTGTTTCCTTGGCCAACTTTTCTCTCTAATACGGAAGCTCCTTGGCAGGGGCTGCATCCAATTTTTATGTTTCCTCAACGTCCAGCCCTGGACTGAACACAGAGTAGTCCTTGGCAAGTGTTTGCTGAATGAATCTTCTCTTTAGATTTATCCTCATCATCATTTTTTTAAGACTGTGGTAAAAATATACATAACCTAAAATTTGCCATTTTAACCATTTTTATGTGTACAGTTCAGTGGCATTAAGTACATCTACATTGCTGAGCTACCATCACCATCATCCACCTCCAACACACTTCCATCATCCCCACTGAAACTCTGAGCCTGTCAAACAATGAAGACCCCTTCCCTGCTCCCCCCAGCCCCGGGCAACCACCATTTCTACTTTCTTTCTCTATGAATTTAACTACTGTAGATAACCTCATATGAGTGGGATCATATAATAGCTGTCTTTTTGTATGGCTTATTCTATTTAGCATAATGTCCTCAAGGTTCATCCACGTTGTAGCGTGTGTCCGAATTTCCTTCCTTTTCCAGGCTGGAAATATTCCACTGCATGGATACACTACTGTTCCATTATCCATTCACCTGTTGATGGGCATTCATGTTGTTTCCATCTGTTGGCTATCATGAATGATACTGCTATGAACATGGGTGTACAACTATCTCTTCAAGTCCCTGCCTTCGGTTGTTTTGGGTATACGTCTAGAGGTGGAATTGCTAGATCATATGGCAATTCTGTGTTTAACTTCTCCAGGAACCACTATACTGTTTCCACAGCAGCTGCACCATCTTACATTCCCACTAATAGGGCACAGCAGTTCCAGTTTCTCCACACCCTTGCCAATACTTGTTGTTTTCTGTGTGTTTTTTTAATGATAGCCATTTTAATGAGTGTGGGATCATCCTTAAAATATAAATGGCCATGAAAAAGTGAGATCCCAGGGCGAGGCATTATGGGACTTTTCCTAAGTGTGCTCTAAAGGGAGATAGCTGGGGTGCTGGAGAGAGGTCCTAGATTTGGAGGGCACTTAGCGGGAGCAGAGACAGGATAGTGGGTGCCAAGACCACACTCCTGGAGCTTACAGCGTGGACTCAGGGCTGGCTTAAGGAGACTCCCCACCATGGGAGAACTGAAACCCAGAAGGTTTCCATGAGGAAAGATTTGTTTGTTGGGCTCATGCCCCTGGGGAAAAGCTGTTTCTAATTTGGACCTTTCTTTCTATGTGTTGCTTCCCAGTGCGACAACGCAAAAGGGTTGAAAGCCTTCTACGATGCAATAAAATACGGGCCTAACCACTTGATGGTGTTTGGAGGCGTCTGTCCATCCGTCACATCCATCATTGCAGAGTCCCTCCAAGGCTGGAATCTGGTGCAGGTAAGGTCTGAGCTACCTTCTTTTGTGGGGAGGTGTCTTTGGTTGGCCCTCAGTCTTTTGCAGGAATTATTCCTTGTACAATGTGGTTTCTATGTTGCCTGGGTCAGGCCTCCTGGACTTTCTCCTGGGTGATAGCACAGCCTTTCACTGCTGGCCTGACTTGGCATGGCCCCCACAGTAGGTCTCTAAAGGGCAGCCCTGATGCTATCACCATGTATTTGAAGGCTTCAGGGCTCACCACTGACTCCCTAGCCCAGCTTTCAGAGCCACTGATGCCAGTCCAACCTGCCTGCCCAGTGTTATCTCCTGCTCCTTCCACTTGCTCCACAGCACAGCCTTGCCAGACACCCTGCCTTTCCACACATGCGCCCTGGACCTTTGGGCCTCAGAGCCCTGCTCTCACCGTTCCCTTAACCAGATGACTCCTCATCAATTCTCTGCCAAGTCTCCCTTTCCCACTGAGATTCTCTTTTGTTATCTACGACTGCCTTTGTCCTCGGTTAAGTCTTTCCTGGTCTCCTTGCCAATTATTCACTCTTTGCCCTGGCAGATTTTATACATCATTGAATGCTCCACCAACATATATACAGTCTATTGTAGGTGAGACTTTCCAGTGTTAGCTGTTATTTGGGATGGGAAAGAAGAGTGTAGAACTATATGACCACCAGGGGTGAGTGGTGGCCCATACACATGTTTACTTTTTTGCTCCATCCATCCATCCATCCATCCATCCATTCACCTATCCATCCATCCATATGTTCACCCATCCATTCGCCTAACCATCCATCCATCCATCCATCCATCCATGCATCCACCCATCCACCCGTTCAGCTATCCATCCATCCACACATTCACCTATCCATCCATCCATCTGTCCATCCATCCATCCACCTATCCATCCATCTTTCCATCCGTCTGTCCATCCATCCATCCATCCACCCATACATCCATCCATCCATACATCCACCCACCCATTCACCTATCCATCCATCCATCCATCCATCCATCCATCCATCCATCCATCCATCCAACAAATATTTTAGGCAACTTACTCTGTGCCTGGATTTTGGTAGGCACACTGGGGATACAATGCTGAACAGGATAGGTATGGTTCACATTATTCTGGAGCTTACATTCTAGGAGGAAGACAGGCAAGAAGCAAGTAAGTAATTAAATAATAATATTATTAAGGTTGTATATGGAGGGTCTGCCATGTGCTAGACACTGTTCTTAGTATTTTTCTGCGTGAACTCTTTTAATTTTTAAATCCACTCTATGCTTTAGGTACCTTATCCCCATTTTATAGATAATGGAACTGAGGCACAGAAAAGCTATCTAACTTGCACAAGGACTCACAGCTAGTAAGTAGTAGGGCCAGGATTTTAACTCAAGCAGTCTGGCCCTTAAGATAAGACTGTAGTAAGGAAACTTGGCGATGACAGAAGGAAACAGGGTGATGAGATATATAGTGACTGCCTTGGGGTAGTCAGAAAAGGTCTCTTGGAGGAGGTGACATTCAAGCTGAGACCCAAAGGGTGAGAAGGAGACCACTGGGTGAAGCGCATTCCATGTCAGTGAATGGAATAGTAAACGGAGGAAGGCAGCTTGTGATAGGAAAGGACCTGGTGTATTCGTGGAACAGAAAACAGGGAAATGGGGCTGGAGCATGATGGGTGGGGAGCCAGGGTGAAGAGAGTGAGTGACAGGGTGAGCAGGAGCCTGACCACATAGAGGATCTGTTTCATTCCACTTGCACTGGCTGAGGACTTCCTCTGTGTCTGGTGCTGCATGCATGGGGTGCTGGGGTGGAGCCCAAGCTTGCAGCCACGAGGGGTGGTGGGCACAAGCTATGGCAGGTGTGATGAAAGAGAGGTGGGGCCCGGGCGAGGGCCCCTCACTTAGCCCCGGGTCAAGGAAGCCCCAGGGCAGGTGCTATGGTAGGTGCATGAAGCTGGCTGCTGAAGGAGGAGAGGGCGTTGGACAGCTGGAGACATGGGGGAGAGCGCCGCTGCAGAGGAAACTGGGCGTGCAAAAGCGGGAGGTGGGAAAGTATGTGGGCTTGGGGAGTGCTGAGTCATTCCTTGTGGCCGGAGCAGGCCACACTGATTGTGGGTGGATGCAACAGGAAGAGGAGACCAGAAAAGCAGCCATGTGCTCTGGTGCAAACCTAACCACAAACCTAACCACACACCTGAAAGCCAGCATGGCTCAGTGTGCCGTGGGAGCCTGGCCTCATGCCCTCAGGGTGCCCAGGACAGCTGTGGAGACCTTGGACCAGTCACTTAGATTCTCTGGGCTTGAGCTTGCTTTCCTGAACATTGAGGAGCACATTCTCTATTAGTTAGAGCCATGTGCTGCCTCCCTGAGCCTCAGTTTCATCATCTGCATAATCAAGGTAGTAATAGGACTGCTTTCATTGGTTTGTTGTGTGGATGGAAAGACTGAAAAAGGATTAGAGCTGTGTCTGGCACACAGTTAGTGCTAACTAAGTGTTCTTTGTGGTTAGTCCTGCCCTGTCTCCTCCCACTCCCCAAGTTGAGTCCCCTGATTACTTGTCATTCCTGGTCTTTCTTGCATTCCCACCTTTTCTTACACTGTTCCTACCACCCAAAACATCCCATTCTTCCTATACCCAGTGTATCAAGTGCTGCCCATTCTTTAAGACCCAGCTTAAATGCTGCCTCCTTCAGGAAGCCTTTCCTGCCTGCTCCTAGGGGGCTGCTAAAGTAGGGCCCTAGAAAGCCTATCACTTCCCCTTGTTTAATTCTAGCAGAGCTTGTGCACAGCCCAGTGTCCCACTCCACTCTGCCTGTCTCTCTCTTAGGGTTTTGCAGATTTGGGGGGGGGTGGTGGTGTTTATAAATGTTTGTCTCTCCAGCTGGGCTGTGAGCTTCTTAAGGACAGAACCTGGACTTTTCTTTTTCCCTGTGCCTATCATTTCACAGTCTTCATTAGAAATCTGCTCAATGATCAGAGGGATGGAGGGAGGTGGGAAGGGATGGAAGGATCTGAAGATGGACGCTTTGTCCAGGCATGAGAGGCTGAGGTCCCAGGGAAATCCCCTGCCCAGAGAGGAATCCAGCTGATTCCACTGATTCTCAGTGTCACTTGGAACCACCTGTCCCTCAGAATTCCCTGAGGAGCTGCAGGAACAAGCACAACGTTGGAAACTCCCAGCTTGCAGACCACAGCTACCTGGCCTCTCCATGAGCAGGACAGCCCTCCAACCTAGAGGAGATGATAAGACATAGAACTGGGTTACAAGATGGGGACTGTGTTAGTTATTTACCACTGGGTAACAAATCCCCCCAAATTTAGTGTCTTAAAACAGCAATATTATGTATTATTTCATTATTTCTCTGGTTCAGGAATTCAGACACACTGAATGGCTTGTGTTTGCTCCATGGTGTTTGGGGCCCAGCTGGAGGATTTGAAGGCTGGGGGCTGGCATCATCTGAAGGCTTGATTAGGGCCGAAGGATCTGCTTCCAGTGTGGCTCCTCTCCATGTGGAGGTCTCCATAGGGCTGCCTGAGTGTCCTCATGACAAGGCAGCTGGCATCCCCCAAAGTGAGTCACGAAAAGACCAAGGCAGAGGTGACAAAGTCTTTTGGGACTTAGCTTTGGAAATTGCATACTATAAGTTCTGCTGAAATCTGTGGATCACACAAATTAGCTCTTATTTAGAGAGGAATAGTACCAAGGTGTAGTGGGAGGTAAGCTCACTGGGTGCTAGCTTGGAGACTGGATACTATAGTGACTAATGTCTGGAGGAAGGCAGGAACTCCAGTTGCCCAGCAAGGGGCACTTGATGCTGAGGCCCTGCCCTGTTTTGCAGAACTCCTGCTCATCCTTCAAAACCCCGGATACCACTTCCTCTGTGATGCCTTCCCTGATCTCCTTCTTTTCCCCCTTTCCTTCAGTGCCGCCCATTCCCCGCTCAAAAAGTAAATTAATTATTTCTTCCTCCGCTACACCCTGCATTCCCAATAGGGGGTGATATCTTCTCCAAGGGAGTAAACATTGGTTCTTGTGGCGAGGCAAAAAAAATCTTACTTTTTTAATGTATAAAGCATAGATATAGATGTAGTACACAAACAGATCTATGCATGCCTGTGGTATTACAATTTCACCAGGGGGCAAGAGTAGGAAAAAACAGCCAGAAAGACTTCTTAGGAGACTAACAGTGAAACGAAGGTTGAGAAACACTGTTCTACATCCTTCTATATTGTGTACAGTATTCTCTTATTAAATAAATTTCATGTCAATGAATTGTACACTTAAAATTGGTAAAGATGGTAAATTTTATATGTATATTTTACCTCAATTAACAAAAATAAAATTTAAAAAATGGGCTGGGCATGGTTGCTCATGCCTGTAATTCCAGTGCTTTGGGAGGCCAAGGCAGGAGGATGGCTTTAAGCCAGGGGTTTGAGGCCAGCCTGGGGAACATAGTGAGACCTCATCTCTACAAAAAATTATAAAATTTAGCCGGGTGTGGTGGCACACTCCTGTGGTCCCAGGAACTTGAGAGGCTGAAGTGGGTGGATTGCTCAAGCCTAGGAATTCAAGGCTGTAGTGAGCTATGATCATGCCACTGCACTCCTGCCTGGGCGAAAAAGCGATACCCTGCCTCTATTAAAAAAAATAATAAGTGTTGTGAAAAATAATTTGTTCTATATGCCAGTCTTCCATATCAGATTGTGAGCTTCTTGGGGGCAGCCCTTCCCCACCCCTTCCTTCATCTCCTGGTTCCCAGTGTCTGGCGCAGGGTCTGGGCTCACAGTAGGTCCTCACTGAGTACTGAAATGTGCTAAGTGCAGAGGATAGGTGGACGGAGGGGCCTGAGATGCTGCATGGCGGAGCCTCTCACAGTGTGGCCCTGACTGTAGGGCAGGGAGGGCGGTGGACCATGCAGAATCTCAGCCTCCACCTCCACAGAATCGCTCTGCATTTTCCCAGGCTCCTTGTGGGGGAAGATGCTCACACCCAGACAATACTGCCCTAGCATTCACTACTAGACACTGGGGCTGGATCAACGGCTGCAACTGGACGTGGATGGGGCATGCTGGGGGGGCTTGGAACTGGAGGGTACTCAACAGTTTGGACTTCTCTGAGGACCTGGGAGGCAGAATGGTAGATGAGCCCAAGAGAGTGGATTTCTCCCAGGCTTGTGCAGCCAGGCAAGGAAGATATAAGAACAAAGATCAGGATCTTGATCTGGGAGTAGCCTGGGAGCCTGGATTCCTGCCTCCTTCTCACTCTCAGGAAACCTAGACCCATTTATTATAAGCCAGACTCTGTGGACCTCCCAAGCCACCCCAACCCCAACACAGGGAGGCTAAGCTTGTTTCCAGAGATGGTGAAGGGGTGGATGGGTGGGTCTACAGGTGCCCAAGGGATTTGATAAATCTCTTAACTTACTCAAGACTGGGCTTCAAAACAGAGCTTCACAAATGGAAAACTGCATGGAATTTGTGTAATTGAAAAGGAGCTCTGGCGGCCCTTTTTGGAGGAGCAATGCTTGCTGGACAGAGACAGCCAGGAATGCGTAATCAGTTGTTTCTGTTTCCTTGTGTCACAAAAATAGGGATTCACACACCAGAGGGGTGAAAATTCACCCTGGTGCTGAAACGGGTTAAATTTAACTTTTGCCTTTTGCTGGGCCTCTTGATTCATAGCTGCTGCATAGAGAGGCTAATATTGTTTTAGTCGTGATGTGAGTCACTTAGCCACTGGGAACCTGTTTCTCCCTCTATATGCAAGGACCTTCATAGAGTCCAGGGTCTGACATGCAGGTGAGATTGGTTCTGTCCCTCTCCAAACTGTCAGAGCCTGCTCAGGGTGCAGGGCTCTGATCTGGGCCTCATGCTGGGAGGAACCCACTAGGGCATGACCCAGGAAAGCATCAGGGAAGGGTCAAGGTCTAGACATTGGAGAGCTGAGGGTGTTCAGCCTGGAGAGCACATGGGGCACTGGGGAGGAGGGAGGAGTCCAGGCCTCCAGCATTGCATGGCTGTCTTTGATAGATTTTGCTGGTCTCTGGTGCAAGTGGGGAGAAGCAGGAGCCACGGCCAAAGTTATCAGGGAGCAGCGTTTCCACCTCCTGCAAGCAAGCCCTGCCTCTGGAAGCTTCCAGCATGGAGCACGCTGCCTGGCTGTGAAGTCATGAGTTCCCTGTGGGCCAAGGTTCCCTGAGAAGTCCAGTTTCAGCCAGGCCTGCTGTTGGGGAAATTTAATACACAGAGTAGGCATAGACCAGGTCAGTGGCTCTCCAACTATATGGGAAGAGTCACTTACGGGGGTTCTTGGTAACAGTGCAAATTCTAGGGCTCCACTCTGAGCAGGTCTAGGTTAGGGGATTTATCAGATCCCTCTAGGACTGTATTCCCCGCTGATCAAAACCACAGCCATTTCAGTACCAGTGGCTCAGGTGACTGTGATGCTGTTGGCCCCTGGAGACTTGCCAGGCCAGGAGCTCTCTAAGGCCTGTTCATCCCCCAGACACCTGGGCTCTTTAACAAATGCTGCTGGTCCAAAAAACTCCAACTGATGCTGCCCGTGTGGGAAAGAGGACATGGAGGCGGTCACAGGGGGATGCTGCCAGGGCAAGTATCCCAGTGCCGCTAGGATGAAGCTCACAGTCCATGGTGGGGCACAGTCCATGGAGTGCACCATCACCTTGCCGTTTTCCCAGCCCACCTCCTGCCCCTTCATGCTGCCAGCCTCAGTACAGGCTGCTGGCAGGACTATGCTCATTCTTCCTGGTGCAGCTTGGGTGTCCCTTCTTTGCAAAGCCCCCCATGGCCTCCCCTGTGCTTCCTGACCTGACCTGCACATCCCTCCCAGGGTGTTTGCTATGTCTGCCCACCCCCGGCCTGCAGCTGCCTGAGGTTAGAATTGTGTCTCATTCACCCTGCCCCTCGGCCTGGTACAGGCCTGGCAGTGATGCCAGAGCAGTGCTCAGGGCGTATTTGCTGACGGAGAGCCAGGTGCCTGCCTTCTAGGCCTTGGGTTGGTCCCCTAACAACCAAGGGCACGTCATCAGAGTGTGCCAGACCTAAAGTCACCCAAGGACTCTCCAGCTGCAGCCTCTTGTTAAACGGACACAGAGGGAGCCCTAACACAGCCTTGGGCTCAGCCTCAGCCCGCATCTCCCATCTCAGGAACCCCCGCCCCCTGGTTTTCTAACTGATAAGTTTCCTTTGCAGTTTTTTTCAGTCCCACCCAGAATCCTGTCCTCAGAGACCTAAGGGTGGCTTGTGTTTGCAGTTTTTGGGGCAGTCCTGCAGATCTCCCACCAGCCTGGTTTGTCCTGAAAGCATGGGGCCTGGGAAAAACCAGGAGAATTTGGAGCTGGGTGGGGAAGATGGAGACAGAGCATGGGAAAGGTCCAAGAGATGCTAGCAAGAGGGAGTTAGACATCCTCAGAGACCAGGACCACACTCCTTCCTGCTTGGGAGTGAGATTATCGCAGCTTCAGCTTGCAGACAGAAATCATCTTGCTGATGAAAATAAAGTCAGATTCCTAAAGGGATAAAGGGCTGCTCGTAGGAAAACGCAAACACTATTTCCTCAAGAACTGCATCCCACAGAGCTTGTCCTTTAAAAGGCAGCCGTGGCAGATTATTAAATTGTAGATGCATTTCTCCCAGCGCTGTCCCCAGCCGCCCCTCGACAGCCCACCCTGCCTTGTGGCCCACCTTGGCACTCCCCACGAGGACCTTCCTGGGAAGGAACATTTCGGCTTGTGTCATGGGGCTGTCTCCTTGGAGAAGTTCATGTGAGGGAGTGGAGGCAAGGAGGACTTTCAGATGGGAGGATGTTGACTCTATGTGTGTAGAGGTATTGGCAATGGAGTCCCAATACGTTTAGGACTTGATTTCTGAAAACTCGAAAGCATGCCTGGTTTTGACATTTAAAAAACAAATCAGTGAGAACCCCCAAATCAGGCCTTTTGCTATTTACTGAATTCTGGCATCATTCTAAACGGTCAGTCAATGCCATTTTGTTTCATAGGAACAGAAATTTTGTGATCTGACATGATTTTCTCAAATGATTATTTTATTAAACTGTAGGCTGTCTGAGAAATCAAAAGATTGCTTGTTGCTTAGCTGTGGCTTGTGGAATTTGAGGTAGATTCATGGAATGGCAGAGGTCGTAGAGGCTTAGCAGGCATTAGGTCCAGTCTCCCTGTTGTACAGGCTGAAAAACAGAGACCAGATGGGGTAGGGGCCTTGCCAAAGTCTCACAGTAACAGCGACACTGGGCTCCGTGGCTCACCCTCCAGCACTTTGCAGCATGTGCCATGGTCTGATTTTCTCTCCCTTAGCCTCACTTTCCTGTTATGTAAAATGGGAATAGCAAACCTGCCTTCTATGTTTTATGCAGTTGTTTTTTCTCCAAGGGAAAGCGCTTTTATAAACTGTAATCCAGTAGCTGCTGTTATGATGCCCAGGACTCCTTTACTAGAAGCAGATCTCTGATTACGGCCATTGGAGTTTAAAGCTTTGCATGGACAACAGGGTTTTTTACTTTGACACTGCAGACTCTGAAAATAAGGAGTCAGGGATGGAATGGGGGCTCTTCAGCAAGATGCTCAAAGTACACACAACGTCTGCCTCTCAGCCCCCAACAGTCAAAACCCACCCAGGCCAGAATCCCGCCACAACCTGGCCCATGTGACTGCCACACCCTTCCACAGAGCACGCAAGTGAGCCTGCAGCCTTGATTGGAAACCATTTGGAAGTAGCAGTACGATGAGGCACAGCTGGAAACTGTTGCTGCTGCTCTCTAAGAAAGAGAATAGAGGCCAGTAATCCAGCACGGGTTGGAGCCATTTCTTTGCACTGGTCTCCAGGGGGGCCATTTAGCACATTAATAATCTATGAGATGCTTCCACCTTCTGGATTCATTAAAAACAAGAAGAAAGGGAAGAGGAGAAATGATGCTAAGGGCATGCACTATGGGCCAAGCAGAGAGGGCAGAAGAGACCCCAAGGACCTGGGGACTTTGGAGAGTCCTTCCTGGCTGTCATCAGATGCCCAGTGCAGTCAAGCCCAGTGTTGAAAGTGGGCAGCATGTCACACATGAGGTGAGGAAAAGCTTGGTAGCTTTTTGTTTGGATACAATTGGTAGAAGGAAGAAGGAACCCACAGAAGGGTTTTCAGGACAGAGAAGTCTGGTAGTTGGCTTGAAGCGGGACCCATGGTGGCCATGGCAACAGCATTCCTAGGACACAGGGCTGTGGGGCAGCTGAAGGCCACTGCAAAGGCCAGAGGGATGGAGAGGGGAACATGTGGCAGGCTCTGTGGTGGACAAAGTGCTGGCTGGTGACTGCCCCTCCCACCTCATTTGCCCCAAATCTCCCAGCTCCAGCACCCAGAGTCCCTTGAAGCTGCTCAGCTGCTCTGTGCTCTTTGAAGGCCCCAGCCTTCCCCTGAGTGGTCCCCCAAGCCTGCAGGCCCGTCCTCTCCTTTTCACCTTGAAAACCACGTCCAGCCTGTGAGAGCTGGCAAGTGAGTTGCTGGCTCTTCTGAGCCTCTGGGCATGTTACGCCATGTGTCCAGCATCCCTTGTTACAGGATTGTCTCTACACCACAGTGTCATCATTGTCTCCATTTCTGCCCCCCCATTTGACTGTGGTACCCTAAAGACAGTGGACATGTCTGATTAGTCTCTCCATGCCTGGTGCCACTTACAGGGACCCAATAATGTGTGTGAGGGATGGAGGGGGAGGTTCATTCCACAGCTTTGAGTTGGCCTGGGGTATCACTGCCCTTCATGATCCAAACCCCCACTCCTTTGGTGGAAGGGGTGGAGATGTGGTCCCCGCATCCAGCCTGGCTTGCGTGGATCCTGGCAGCACCCTCCGATCTTCAGGGGAAGAGAGGTTCTGTTCTTACTCATTCATCCATCCATCCAATCATTCATTCATTCACTGACTCATGCTATATTTATTCATTCATTCTCTCACTCAACAAGTGCAGCGCCTGCTGTATACTCTCCCAGGCTCTCCTGAAGCAGTGCAAATCCACCACCCAACACCACCACCCCAAAAGAGGGAGACATGGCAAAGAGGCAGTTTGATGCAGGAGACTGAACAGAGGACTGGAATTCCGAAGCTCCGGGTCATTTTCCCTCTGATGCCTCTCACTGACAGAGGGAACTTAGGCGAATTAGCAGCCCCCTCAGAGCCTCACTGAACTCACAGTATCAAGGAGGTAATCCCGTCCACCCTTCTGGGGCTATTGAGAGCATTAGATGGGACAGGGATGCTGGAGCATGTGGGAGCACTTTGCAGACCATCAGGCCCACTAAGATCTCAGGTGGTGATGTTACCGCAACTGTGATGCCAACCGGGCCCTGAAAATGTATAGGTCTCCATTTGTCTTCAGATCTAAAGTTGTGTGGATGAAATTAACTCTCACCGACCATGAAGATGATTCAGAACAGTAAAATTAAAACAGAGAACTTACAGGAGAGGCGAAAGAAGCCCCAGGCAGCTGTTAGAGGGCACACACACTCTTTCTGGTTTTCAGAGAAGCAGAGGTAGGTTAAAGAAGGGCTGGATGCTATCGAGGGCAGGGTGGTTCCCAATCTATTCCTGCAAGGACATACCCCATGTCTTTCCTGTTGGCCTGGTGAAAGATTCAATTTAAGGTTCTGACCCCTATTTTTAATTCAAGATCATGGTCTCTAAAGTAATATCAGTTCCCAATGTGTAAGTCCAGTGGCCTCATTGTTTATGCGTCTTTCACCGCCAGCCACTTCAACCCTTTTCTGGGAATATGTGGGCTGTAAATAATTCATTCTAAATAAATAAATCACTCGCGCTACTTACGGTACAGCTGGTGCTGCTAGTGATCGGCACAATTGTAGATTACACAGAGTTGAGTCTGGAATTACAGATTGCATCTAGAAAGAACTGGAGAGGGAATTTGAAAATGAGCTCCCTCTGGGGACAAACATGTAAAATGGGATTAACACCAGCCTAATAAGGTTGGGATGAGAGATAGAAATAATAAATGTGTCACACAGTGCTGGGCACCCAGCAGGCATGTAATCTTCTTCTTCTTCTTTCTTCTTCTTTCTTATTTCTTTTTCTTTGTCGCCTTTTTTTTTTTTTTTTTTTTTTTGACAGTGTCTTGCAGCCTTGACCTCCCATGCTCAAGTGATCCTCCCACCTCAGCCTCCCTGAGCAGCTGGGACTACAGACACATACTACCACGCCCAGCTAATTTAAATTTTTTTTTTCTTTTTGAGACGGAGTCTCAGTCTGTCACCCAGGCTGGAGTGCAGTGGCACAATCTCGGCTCACTACAAGCTCCACCTCCTGGGTTCAAATGATTCTCCTGCCTCGGCCTCCCGAGTAGCTGCAACTACAGGTGCCCGCCACCGTGCCTGGCTAATTTTTTGTAATTTTAGTAGAGACGGAGTTTCACAGTGTTAGCCAGGATGGTCTTGATCTTCTGACCTCATGATCCGCCCGCCTCGGCCTTCCAAAGTGCTGGGATTACAGGTGTGGGCCACTGCACCCAGCCATCAATATTATTCTTAAAACATCATTCCTGTAATTCATGAGTGAAGGTTACTATTTTGTTGAGGAAAATTGACTAAAAATGGGCTTTTTTTATGGCAGTGGTTCTCAAACTTCATGAGTATCAAGATCCCCTGGAAACTTGGTAAAATACAAAAACCCACTAGGCATAGGGTGACCAATCATACCTGTTTTGGGATTGAGAGTGCCCCAGGAAGTAGGACTGTGAGTATTCAAACCAGGAAAGTCCCAGGCTGGCCGGGACAAGTTGGTCACCTTCGCCAGCTCTCGTCCTGCTTCTAGGCGCCTCATCCTCTGTGCTGTGTGTTAGCACCCTGGGTGATTCTGAGGCACAGCCATGGGTGGGAACCACTGCCTTAGAGTGTGAGACTGGGAAGATGCCTGCTGAGCCGCTGGGCAGGTGCTCTGCGGACAGACACACGGGTGCATGTGGTGGCATGGCACTGACTGCCCCGTCCAGTGTTGTGTTTGGTAAGGTGTGTGGTGCTCACCTGTGCAGATGGGCAAATGGAGGGCCAGAGAGCCAACATACCAATAATACCGGGTACGCGTCTCAGGCTTGGGCAGATAGGCTGGGGTTCACATCCAGGCTCTGGTGCTTGTTAGCTGGTGCCTGGGGCAGGTTGCTTAGCCTCTTCCAGCCTCGGTTCCTGGTCTGGGGCTTGGCAGTGGCATTATACTGACCCTGGGTGCTGGTGCATTGCCTTCCTTCTTCCTCCTGTGGCCATCCACTCAAGGACATAGTCACCCAGGTGACATCTTGGCCTATCTGTGCAGGTAGAGACAGAGCCCTGGGATCTGGGGTCACCTCCATGGGATGAGCTATGTGGTCTTGGGATATCTCTTGCTCCTTGTGGGCCCCTGTGTAAGAGGAGTGGGTTGGGCCAGTTGATGGGCCTTGATAACCTCGATAATGTTGTGTCATTATGACCTGTGGCTCAGAGCCATCAGTGCCTGCCTTAAGCCTGGCATCGTCCCTCTTGGGCCTCTGCATGTGATTTCCCTGGGCTCATAAGGCCTGGTTTCCCCTCCATGTCTAGAAGCTGTGAGAAGGAACCAGGCAAGTGCTCAGGGGCTGAGGCCGCTCACACATGTAACTCCACACAGAGTAGAGGAGCAGCCTTGCAGCTGTGCCAGGCCTTCAGCTTTAATGTCTCTTGATCTCCGCCAGAGCTTTCCAGGTGTAGGACACCCCTTCTGCAGGAAGTGAGGCCCAGAGAGCTGATGTGGCCTGTGTAAAGTCATACCTCAGGTAGGGCAGAGAGCTGTGGTGCCAGCCTTTCTGGTGGCCTTCCCCGTCTGGTCCTTTCCCCTCATGCTAAGGCATAGAACCTGCTCCCCACAGCTCAAGAGCTGTTGCCCATGTTGTTCTCACTGCACGATGCCCTTTCTGCTCCCCCTCCTCCCCGGCTCAGTCCTCTGTATTTCCTGATATTTAGTTCAAGTCTTACCTCCTCCTCCAGGAAGGCTTCCTAGTCTTCCCCAACCCTGGTCCCAGCTGGAGGAGGTACCCAGCGTTTTCCTCACTTCCTTTGTTTTGCCCATTCCTCAATATATTACAATCCCTGATGAGGTTTCAGTGTCACCTGCCAAACAACTCCTTCAGGCCCAGACAGTCCTTGCCCATCTGAGTCTTAGCAGTACCCCAAGGGCCTTGCCTCAAGTAGGTGCTCAGGAATTGTGACTGGACACACCTGTAGGGCCTGTTAAAAAACTAATTTGTCACATGTCTATAGCCTTTGCCATGGGCCAGGCATGGTTCTAAACACTGTGCATAAATTAACTCATTCACTTCACATGCCAACCCTAAGAGGCTGTTATTCTCCTCATTTCACAGATGAGAAAACTGAGGCACAAAGAGGTTGAGTGCCTTGCCAAAGGATTGCCCTTCTTAAATGGCTCCGGAGTCCCTGCTTGCAACCGCAAGTCTACACTGCCTGTCACACAGTATCATGTAACCCTCACTGCACTACTTGGGGTTGAAGAGCAGGCGTTGTCCCAGTTAGGCCTGTTCTCAGATTGGGGAAAATAAGATTCAAAGAAAGTAGAGTCTGGCCCTGCTTCCTGCTGCAAGCAGGCCACAAGGTGAGGTCTCCCGAAGGCCTCTAAGAGTGGCCTCTCTGGGGGCCATGGAGGCTCCAGACTCCGGGTCTCTGCCTCCCTCTCCAGCTGTGTTGGCGAGGAACTTCCTGCCTGTCCATGGAGGACCCAGGCAGTACGTGTCCCCTGACACAGGCTGTGTTCTCCCTGTAAATCATTCATGACCCCCACACACCCACACATGCACACACACATGCATACATAGCACTTTTAAACTTATTACTCATTCAGTAACTTGTGTATAAAAAATAAATGATTCCTTCAAACTCAGAAAATAGATCGACTGGTTGTTGGTGAAAATCAATAACTATGCTAAGTATTTCAAGAATAGTACTTATAGTCCTACTCTGGATGATTTTATAAAGAATGAGCTGATTTTTTTTCTAAATAGAGCATAGTCTACATTAGTTGTGAATTATACAGAAGGCTTTTGCTTTGAATCTGTTTCCTAAGATGATTACATTATTTATTATTTCCATGATGAAGAGATTGAGCCTTATACAGTGGGAAGGGTTCAACTTGAGAAAAACAATCCTAGGTTAGATAACGATCTAGACATTCATAAATGCTGATTTAAGCATAATTTTCTCTATTTTCCCCATGTTCCCATAAAAGCTATTACATAGTACTGTCTTAGCCTCTTCTAACATGACATGTTGGCTTTGCAAGTATGAGGGAATGACTTCCTTCACATCCGGGGTGTCTTCTGAGACTCTGGGCCCATTCCTAGAGGATTGGGCACAGGGACCTTTGGCACAGCAAAGCTGTTTTGGCCCAATCCTCTGGCCCACGCTAACAAGAAGGCTTCAGCACCACTTGTTTGGGAAGCGTTTCCAGGGCGTGCCTCCGGTGGATGCGTCCGTAACCGGTAACCCTCGCTGCCCACAGCATGCTCACTTCCTCCTTCAGTGCAGTCTTGCCTGATAGTTACTGTTCTCTCTGTGAAGTCGAGGCAGCGTCTCCTTTGTTTGCCGGGGGAACCTTAGAGCCCAGCTCATGGCCCAGAATCCAGGAGAACCTCTGTGAATCTTTGGTTTCCATTTTGGTTTTCGGTGCTCTCAATCTTTCTCTTTAATGTAAGTAGCATCATGAATTCATAGATTTTCAAAAATATATTGAATGTACTGTATTTCAGTAAGTTGGAGACATTATTTTTCATGCAGACAGTGTTTTTGCTGCTCTTTTTTTTTTTTTTTTTTTTTTTTTTTGGACAGGGTCTCGCTCTGTCACCCAGGCTGGAGTACAGTGGCATGATCTCAGCTCACTGCAACCTCCATTTCCCGGGCTCAAGCGATCCTCCCCCCTCAGCCCCCCAAGTAGCTGGGATTACAGGCGCACACCACCATACCCGGCTAATTTTTGTATTTTTTGTAGAGATGGAGTTTCGTCATGTTGCCCAGGCTGGTCTGAAACTCCTGACCTCAAGTGATCCTCTCACCTAGGCCTCCCAAAGTGCTGGGATTGCAGGTGTGAGCCACAATGCCCAGCATTTGCTGCTCTATTTATGTTTCTACCTTTCCCCCAAAATTCTCCTCCAATTTTGTTATTTTGAAAGTTACTTTAACCTGCAACAAGAAGTTAAAGTACAATGAACATCATTTACCCTTTATCTGGATTGACAGTTGTTTACATTTTGCCATATTTGTTTTTGCTTTTCCTCTCTTTCCCTGCACCACCCCCACACACACGCTCACACAGTCACTGATTTTTTTGTTGAAGCATGTGATATTAGTTTGCACACACAATGACACTTCACCCCTAATACATTAGCATGCATCTCCTAAGACAATTATATCCTCTTACATAACCCTAATATAACCACATCTGAAAAATTTAACAGTGATACAATAATATTACCAAATATATGGTCCATATTGAGATTTTTCCAGTTGTCCCAAAATTGTCCTTATTGGAATTTATTTGGACACAAGCAAGGAACATGCATTGTCTTTGTTGCCATATATTTTTGGCTTTCAGGACAGTGATCTTTTTTTTCAGAAAACCCAAGCCAGTTGTTTTATAAAATGTCCCACAATTGTCATTTGTTTCCTCATGATTAGATTCATGAGTTTTGGCAAGAATACTACATTTTTTATGCTGTGTTCTTCCCAGTGCATCGAGTCAGGGGGCCCAGGATGTCAATTTGAACTATTATTGATGATACTAAATTTGATCACTTGGTTAAGGTGGTATCTTCCAAATTTATTGTAAATATACATTTTTCCCCCTCTGTAATTATGAAGTAATCTATGGGGTGAAACGCTGAGACCGTATGACTATCCCATTTCCTCACAAGCTTTTACTCAATGGTTTTAGCATCAATTTATGATGCTTGCCTGCCTCAGTATCATATTGGTGTTGCAAAATGGTAATTTTCTTTTCTTTCTTTTTTTGAGAGACAGTCTCATTCCATCACCCAGGCTAGAATGCAGTGGCACGATCATAGCTCACTGTAACCTCAAACTCCTGCGCTCAAGGGATCCTCCTGCCTTAGCTTCCCCAGTAGCTGGGATTATAGGCACATGCCACCATGCCAGGCTAATTTTAAAATTTTTTTGTAGAGACGGAGTCTCGCCATGTTGCTCAGGCTGGATTCAAACTCCTAGGCTCAATCGAGCCTCCTGCCTCGGCCTTCCCGAAGTGCTGGGGTTATAGGTGTGAGCCACTGCACCCAACCTCATTTTCTAATTATATTCCTTCTACATTTAAGCCTGCATTCTTCTCTCCAGAACAGCTTTCCCTTTTTTGACTCTTTCTTCTCCTCCTCCTGCTTCTTTCTGTTTCTCTTCCCCTACTAATTTGAGCACTTAATATTTTACCTGCCTTAGTCTTGGAATCAGCCATTCCTCCATTCCTCCATTCCAGCCATTCCTCCAAGGAGCCCTGATTCTTCCTGGTAGGAAATTGTGTTAAGAAACCAACATTTGGGTACTAGGTATACTTGTTGCTACTGGGGTTCATTCCTTCACGGTTTTTTTTTTTCAGTGGAATGAGCTTGAAAATATAATTTTTAATATCTTTAAAGTGTTTAAACTGTAATCTATGAGGAGATAATCAGACAAATATGGGTCATTCTATAATTTACCTGGCCTGAATTCTTAAAAAGTCCATATTGTGGAAAACAATAAGAAAAACCATATAAAGCCAACCTAGGCCTGTTGTAATCAAAAAATTAAAAAAATGCCAACCAAAAGCAAGGCGTGAATATTGACTGGATCCTGAATTTTTAAAACAAAAGGGCATTTTTGGGAAATTGAAGAAATTTGAATATGGACTACGCATTAGATGATACTGAATTATTGTTCGTTTTCATAACTGTGATAATGACATTATAATGATATAGGATAATTTCATTCTTTCCAAGATGCACTCTGAACTATTTAGTTATGAGGTATCATGATATTTGTAAGCTAATTTCAAATGCTTCAAAAACATCATTAAGTGTATGTGTGTGCATATATGTATATGTGTGTCTATGTATATATATATATATACACTACTATATAGTATATATATAATACTAAATATAATATATACTATATATTTAAAAAGAGAGAGAGGAAAGCAGATGTGGAAAATGGTGAATCTAAGTGAAAGTATTCCTCATGCTATTGTTTCAACTTCTTTGTTTTAAATATTTTTATTTAAATATTTTTGGATTTATAGGAATGCTATACAATGTTCCTCGTACTATTCTTTCAACTTCTTTAAATATTTTTCAAAATAAAAAGTTGTGAATGCGCCTGTGTGTGTGTATGTGTGTATGTGTATTTTGTGTGTATGTGTGTGTGTGTATATGTGTGTGTGTGTGCATGTATATATGTGTGTGTGTGTATGTGTGTGTGTGTGTATGTGTATATGTGTGTGTGTGTGTA
This sequence comes from Homo sapiens, assembly GCF_000001405.40. Taxonomy (NCBI): domain Eukaryota; kingdom Metazoa; phylum Chordata; class Mammalia; order Primates; family Hominidae; genus Homo; species Homo sapiens. The sequence continues at coordinate 98,560,401 of NC_000009.12, read as the reverse complement.
TGTGTGTATGCGCACACGCACGTGTGCTGGGTGGTGGGATAGTGGAGAGGAAGAATATGTCCTCCTTGGCTGGACAGTGAAAATGTGTCCAAAAGTCTCTTTACACATTTTTCTCCATGTGACTCTATTAGAAACTTAATATATTCCTAGATTCCTTTGTCCTGGTTTGTTTTCACTGTTTAGGGGTTGATTTTTTTTCTCCTTGTTGATTAATTTTATTTTAAAAACTATACACAACTTTTATATGATTCCATAGTCAAATGTATAGCAGAGAATTCTTGGCTCCAATCTAAGCTCTCTCCATTCTGTTCCATGCCATCCTTATATAATGTGACCATTGTTATTAGTTTTTAATTTATCCTTCCAGTTTTTCTTATTGAAAATATGAGCAAGTGTGTGTGTGTGAGTGTGTGTGTGTGTGTGTGTTTGTTCCTCATTTCTTCTTTTTATGCAAAGGGAGCATACAGTCTACACTCTTCTGCACCTTGCTTTTTTTTTTACTTAATTTTCCCAGATTTCACTGTATTATCACTGTAGAAAGGCATTCCTTATTTTTTTTTTCACAGATGCACAGCCCTGCTTTGTATGGATGTACTGTAGTTTGTACAGCCAGTCCTCTACTGATGGACATTTGGATTATTTCCAATCTCTTGGAATAACCTTGGCCACATTGTCACATTTGTGCCAGTGTAAACTGGGTATGAATTCCTAGAAGTGGAATTTCTGGGTCAAAGGATAAATGCATCTATAATTTTTCTAGAAAATAAATCTTTGTTAAGAAAACTAATGAATGAACTTGATTTAAAAGAGCTGAAAGTAAAAGGCTAATATCTAAATGGAGACATAAAACAATTAGAATAAATAAATCTCTTTGTGAAAGAGGCTGATTTAAAACCTTTCTGGTGGCATTATCTCTGGTTCAGCAATTTTCATTTTCTTGCCCAAAGACAGAATACTTTCTCTTTGGTTTGTAAATTAAACATATGGCTCACGCCTGTAATCCCAGCACTTTGGGAGGCCAAGGTGGATGGATCACTTGAGGCCAGGAGTTTGAGACCAGCCTGGCCAACATGGCGAAACCCCATCTCTACTAAAAATACAAAAATTAGCCAGGAGTGGTGGTGCATGCCTGTAGTCCAAGTTACTGGGGAGGCTGAGGTGGGAGGATTGCTTAAGCCCAGGAGGTGGAGGATGCAGTGAGCAGAGATCACACCACTGCACTTCAGCCTGGGCAACAGAGTGAGACCCTGTCTCAATAAATAAAATAAAAATAAATTAGTTAATTAAACATATAATTACTAAATCATGAAATTTTAGAGCTGAAATAAAAACTACCTAGAACAGTCTTCTTCAGGAAACCGAGGCCCAGAAAGGGGAAGGAAGGAACAGAAAGACTAAGAAAAAAAACCAAATTGAGTCCAATTCCATGCAATTTAATAAACAGTAAGTGAAAGAGCTTCTTTGTAATAAAGCATGATGCTTGTTTTCAGTTTCTACGAAGAGTCAAACATAGAACTGTACTATTGAGATCCCTGGAGATACCCTATCAGCAGCATGTGGTTCAGATCCCTGAGTGCTTTGCTGTCACAGTGACAACTCCTTCAACAGAACTCGGTGTCAATGGACTTTGTTTCACATCTTTTGTGTTATTCTAGGGCATTTCAGTGTAGTCATGATGAGACACTGGATCAGCTGGAGGGTTTGAGTGGCTGTGGGCGTCCTGGCTGATGATGTGAGTGGTCATGTTTGCTCAGGATAGTCTGAAGTTACATAATTGTGGCACTGGAAGGATTCTGTTTAGATTCTGAGCAGGCAATGTGGAGAAGCGAATGGGTTTAGCCCTGCCAGCCATGAACTTGGGGGGCAAGACTGGGCAAATCCCTTCTTTCTGGTCCTCTGTGTATAAAATGAAGAGTTGGACAAGCCCAGAATGGCACATAAATAAATGGCACCCATGGTATTATTTTATCCTTCTATGCTAATTGTAGACATAACTAATAGATCACTAAATGCTCATTCTTCACTCCCTTAGCCCACTTCTCAGTAGCCCCCATCAGCCCACTGGTGATACGGCATAGGTTCAGCCCTTTACCACAGCTGGCCTGAATGGTTACTTAGGGTTAGCAGGTAGAATACAGGATGCCCAGTTAAATTTGAATTTCAGATACACAAAAAGGTTTTTTGCTTTGTTTTTTAATGCAAGAATGTCCCAAATGTTGCTAAATCTGGCAAAGCTATCGCTTAGGCCATTTCCATTATTTGTTTTTTTTTCTATGTAGCTGATTTCTCTTAAGATAGCTACCCTCTCTTCTTGACACTTCTGATAGTGCCTATTCCCCAGTGCCCAGATAAAAGTCTAACTCATTCTGTAATTGTTTAAATTCACATTATGACCTAATTTAATTGAAGGTGATAGAGATTTGGGTAGGAGACGTTTATTTCTAAGGACCATATATTCTGGTAAAAAACTCTTTGATGAACCTGTAATCCCATGTATCCCTGACGTTATCATTTTCATATCACTTTCTTGACTCTGCCAATGCAAGTACAACTTGTATTATTAACTTAATTAGTATGTTCCCTTAAACTGACTCATAATTTTATCTAAATGCCATGAATGAAAAATCAGTATCATTTACTAAGAAGGTAGTATAAAAGCAAATTAAGGAAAAGCATGTCTCTTAGGGTATAAAATAGTCATCTGGGACTCACTTGAAGTCACTGAGTATGCTCCCTGGGATACAAAGCACACCACTGACTAATTCAACTCCCTGCTGATTTGGGAATCCCCTCTGTGACTCTGGCAGATGATCCCTGAGGATCTTCTTGAATACCTCCAGTGCTGGGGAACTCAGTACTTTGCAAGATTTTGATTCACTCTTGAATACCTTACTGTGAACGGTTTCTTCTTCATATTGACCGTATCAGCCTCCCTGAAACAGTTACACATGGACCCTGGTTTTCCCTCTGAGACCCCACACAGTAAGTTTGCTCCCTCTGCATTCATTTATTCAACACATAGTTGAGTGCTTATTCTGTGACAGTTTGGATGCAATGACAGTACAGGTGATAAGGTCTGATGGAGGTGCAGTAGGGGAGACACCCCCTGCGTAGACTGGAGGTAGGAAGGTGTTCAGAAAGGCTTTTTCAGAGGGGAGTGAGGGAGAGCCTGCTTTGGGAAAGAGAAGGCTGGAGTGAGGGGGTGAGAGAGGACGCTGGAGCAAAAGAGGTGGAGAGGGAGCAGGCCAAGTGGGCCTCATAACCCTCATCTCCTCATCTTCTATTATAGCACTAGGACTCACTTCCTATAAAACATGTTCATATTCCAAGTTCTCAGTGTGTTTACTTATTTATTTTTGAAGTAGGGTCTTGCTGGGTTGCCCAAGCTGAAGTACAGTGGCACTATCACGGCTCACTGCAGAATTGACCTCCCAGGCTTAAGCAATTCTTCTGCCTCAGCCTCCCAAGTAGCTGGGACCACAGGCATGGCCACCGTGCTTGGCTAATTTTATTTTTTTCCATAGAGATGGGGTTTTGCCAATTTGCCCAGACTGGTCTCCACTTCCTAGGCTCAAGCGATCCGCCCACCTCAGCCTCCCAAAGTGCTGGGATTCAGGCGTCAGCCACCGCACCCGGTCTCAGTTTATCTTTAACAGAGCCCTGGAGAGTTAGTCAGGGCAGGACTTATTCTCCCCATTTTACAGTTAAGGAAACTGAGGCCTAGCAGGTTGGTGGCGGGTTTGCAGCTGACCAGAGGAGCTGGGTCTGTGTGTTCTACAGGCACACAGCGGCACTCACTTCCGGGTGCTCTTGCCCATGCGCAACCCCAGCCCCGCCCCAGCCACTGATCCTGGATGACCCCCTGCCCCATGGAATAAAACTTCTCGTTCTGGGAAAGCATCTTTGAATCTTTGATCTTGACTCAGCTAAGTTTCCTCTGGACTGACCATGAAGCACATTTCAGAGGTGTGGAGTCTCGTGCTCCACTTTCTTGCCTGTGGAAAGCGTTGGCTCACAGGGTAAACTGAACCTAGGATGACCCCTTCTTCTCGAGCCCCGGTGTCCCTGGGATTGGGGCTGTGAGGTGCCCAGTGACTGCCACACTGAAGGCCCTCCCATGTCCTCTGAGTGTCAGCGGGCAGGTGGCTCTCAGGCCTCCTTGGCAAGCTTGGCCTGTCTGGTTGAGTGATTCCTTGGTACGAGTCTGCCGCTCAGAGCTTTGCCTGAGCTCTATCTACTCAAGGGGATGGGGCGCAAACCCTGTTTTCCTCAGCCAGAGAAACCAGCACTTTCCTTCCTCCTCTGTTCTGTTTTGTGTGACAACTGGGTGAGTTCCTGTCTAAAGAAGACAAGTGTGAAGGCATTTTGTGACCCTCCTGTCTCCCTTTCCCCTCCATGTCTCCCATGGCTACAGAGCAAACTCACAGACAGCCCTCAATGAGCTCATAGAGCAGTCAGTGAAGTGGGCCTGGCTGCCCATCACTTCTCAGTGCCTCACCACAAAGGGAAGAAACAGTGCTGGGAGAACTGAGGGAGAGCAGGGAAGGCTCCCTGGAGGAGGTGTCTGTGAGTAGGCCTGGACAAATGAGTAGGAAGTATGATCCCAGAAGTAAGAAATGCTGCATCCTCTCCCACTCAAAGACTCGAGCTGGGGCCCCAGCACCCCCGACCCCTGACAGATGTGATTTCAACTTGTGGACTGATCAGAGGTGCCATATTGACATGAGGAGACATGATTTCTGCAGTGAGGTAATTAAAAGGCGGTTGGCTTCACAGCTGTGATCACACGAGAACACTTCTTACCCCTAAAGACATCAGCTGAAAGCCAAGTGCAAAGGAGCCGAGGAAACCAAAGAGGCTTCTAATGTAATTTGTTAATTTCCTGCATTTGTCACCTGCACAGCTGTGAGGGGAAAATGGAACATTTTACCAGAAGTTTAAGAGAAAATTAAAGACATACATTCTAATTGTACACAATTAGACAAGCAATACAATCATAATTATTTGTTTAATTAACAAACCATTTTAAAATAATAGATTAGGATTTGGACATCCTGCTTTAGAATGATGTCCCTGCCTGGTGGCAGCCACTTGAGTTTGAGCAAATCCTTTCCTTCGCTGAGGCTTCTCATCTGTAAAATGGGTATGCTCCTCCCCTGCCTTCCCTAGGGAGGTGGAATATTGCAGGAAAGGGCTTTGTAAATTAAAAGGCCCTGTGTGATTGTAAGAAATACCATCTAATTCTCCTAACTTAGTTCTTGTAACTTTTAAGTCTAGAAATTGTGGTCTACTGTAAGCCATCATTAATTGGGCACTTGTGCTATTCCAACCCTCACGACAGCCCTGAAATGGGAATGTGCCTGTCTGACCCCAGTCCATTTACAGAGGAGGAGACTGAAGTTCCCAAAGTTGGAGGAGTCTTCTGAGGTTGCACAGGGAGGGGCGGAGGTGGCATTCAGACACAGCCTGTCCAAACTGAAACCCAGCATTCTTACCCTTATGAGCCACACTGCTTTCTCAGCATCGACTTGGTTTTGCCATTTCTCTAATTTACTCCCATTTTTGACTTAAAATAAAAGGATTTGCGGAACTAATAGTTGTTTTCCAATCTTCTTTACGTCAAATAATAATAGAAATGTTAAAGAAGGGAGTGAAGAAGGTAATAAAGAATCATAGAATGCCATATAGCAAAAACAATTATATCTTAAAGAGCAAAGCATTAAATGACTTCACAATTTATCATAATAAATAAATGCTGTCTCTTAAACTGGGTGATAGGCAGCTGGATATTGGTTTTGCTATTATTCTTTAAAAGTATCTAACGTGCTTATGTATGTAGTTTCTATTTGATAATAGAAGTTTAAAAAGAAGAACGTCCAGGATGAAGAATGTTTTTAAATATACGTACGATTTTTGTTTCATATGTTTTCATTGGACCATCTTAGAGAATCAAAAGCATACTAACCCACTGATGAAGTATTATTGTTTTTTCTTTTAAATAAATTTTATTTTTTCTTTTCTTTCTTTTCTTTTTCTTTCTTTCTTTGACAGGGCCTCACTCTCGCTCAGGCTGGAGTGTAGTGGCATGATCCTGGCTCACTGCACCCTTAAATCCTAGGCTCAAGCGGTCCTCTTACCTCAGCCTCCCAAGTAGCTGGGACTACAGGCACCCGCCACCATGCCCGGCTAATTCTCTCTTCTTTTAAATTGCCCTGGTTGCTTTCTAGTCTTAGCCTCAGATGCCTCCCTGAGAAGCAGCCCAGAAAATTGGAGCGAGGACGTCATTCTAAGAACCAAAGTCCCAAACCCTAGCCTTGCCATTTGTTAACATGCGGCTTTGAGTAAGTCACCTGATTTTGAGTAAGTCACCTCTCTGAACATCAGTTTCCTTATCTAAAAAATGAGGGTAATAATAAAGTCTACTCTACTGATATCATGGGTTTTTGTGAAGATCAAAATTAGACTAGAGAAGTAAATATGTTTTGGGAATTGTTAAATCACAGAGAAGAATCATAGCACTCTGCAGAATGAGCAGGGACTTGTGACATTAGTCTCCCTGCTCTGCCAGTTGCTTGCGGAGTGATCATGTGCAAGTCACTTATCCTCTCCGAGGCTCAGTCTCCTCATCTGGAAAATGCAGATCAGAATCACATCTACTTCATAGGGTTGTTTTGCACATTAAGTGAAGAAGTGAATGCTAAGCCCTTCATGCAGTGCTTGCTCCACGGTACGTGCTCATTATTTCATAATTTCAAGAAGTCAAAATATCTAAGCTCAGGTCCCAGCTTTGCCTCTTTTTTTTCCTCTTTTTGAGAAGGGGTCTCCTCTGTCACCCAGGCTGGAGTGCAGTGGCACAATCACAGCTTACTGCAGCCTCAATGTCTCAGACTCAGTTGATTCTCCTGCCTCAGCCTCCCGAGTAGCTGAGACCACAAACTCGAACCACAATGCCTAATTTTTTGCATTTTTTTGTAGAGATGGGGTTTCGCCATGTTGCCCAGGCTGGTCTTGAACTCCTGGCCTCAGGCAATCCTCCTGCCTCGGCCTCCCAAAGTGCTGGGATTACAGGTGTTAGCCACCGCACCTGGCTGCTTTGCCTCTTACTAGCTATGGGGCCCCAGGCAAGTCACTATACCTCCCTGAGACTCAGTTTCTCCCACAGGAAACAAAGGCACTAATGTCTCCCTTACAAATTGTCACAAGTTCCCAATAAGAATATGCTGAGTGCAGTGGCTCACACTTATAATCCCAGCACTTTTGGAAGCCAAGGCAGGAGGATCACTTGAGGCCAAGAGTTTCAGACCAGCCTGGGCAAAATAGCGAGACCCCTGTCTCTACTAAATATAAAAAATAAAAAAAATAGCCAGGCATGGTGGCACGTGGGTATAATCCCAGCTACTCAGGAGGTAGAGGCAGGAGGATGCTTGAGCCCAAGAGTTCCGGGCTGCAGTGAGCTATGATCATGCTACTGTACCCCAGTCTGGGTGACAGAGTGAGACCCTGTCTCTAAGAAAAAGAAAAAGAAAAAAAGGACTGGCCACAGCAGGGGGTGGTAAAAGCTGAACTGCTGTGCATTTGATGAAAAACTAAACCTCATTAACAGAAAGGAGAAATGATTGTTCCCCAAGAGGTTCTAGCCCAAGCTCTCTCTGACTAAAGAGATTTAAAATCTTACAGCCAGTCTATGCACGATACCCCAGAAGGCCTTTTGTTGGAGTGGGGCTTCCAGAACTCACTCAAATGCCAGGCATTCATTTTCCCTTGTTAACTTGGGAAATGCTTTGCAGCCACCCCGCATCACATTAATCTCACCGGCATCTATGTTGAGGCACTTTTTGTCCAAACAGTTTTTCACCAGGGCTTGAGCACAGCGGCGACCTGGCGCAGACCTGAAGTGGACCCGAGTTCCCAACACACACAGCCTGGGGCCTTTGTATACATCCTGGCACTGGCCACAAACAGTGTTTTGTCAGAAGCTTCCTGAGAAAGTTGCGTTCCATTCATCTCAGCTGAAAGGAACCCTAGATGACAAATACCTCCCTCATTTAATTACAGAAACAGTCAGCAAAGTCGTGGAAAAAGATTAAACCAACAGAGAAAAGAGCAAGCCTCAATCATTTTCTCATCCCTTTGCATTTGGCCTGAGTTCCTTACCTAGGACTTAGCAACTGTGGTCCCCCCTGCCCGGTTATACCTGCCTCCTGAAAAAAATGGTTTATTTTTGCAGAGAAGCTAAACTCGGATGCCCCAAAACAGGTGAAGAATGAATTGCATTTAGGCAAGAATTCGTCAATGCCTTGGAATGTCATAAAGATCCTGAAGCTGGGAGATGAGTTTACATTTTTCGTCTGGGTTCGTATCTGCAAATGGAAGTGAGGCACAATGGCAGTTATCTGAATAAATCAGATTAAATAAAACACACACCCACACAAGACCAAGAAACTCCTTAATCATTTTCTTCAATGTTCGCGAAGCATAGATTTTTGTGGTTGCAGAGAACCTTTGAAATCTTTGGTCCAATCCATCACTTTCAGAGATGAGAAAAACAGACATCTAAAAGGGGGGAAATGACTTACCCTTGTTCTCTCAGTCACAGGGACAGGGTTAAGCCTAAATGTCCCGGCTCCCTAAAGAGGCCTCGTAGCTGCATGAGCTCACCACTTCTCTCTGCATTCAGGTGCTGCTTGTTAAAGTGACTCATGGTTCAGTATGCAGGCCCTGAACGCTCATGAAACATATCACGGCAGGCTAGAGGCCTCCAGCTGGAGAGAGATGCTCATGGCTCTCTTCCCACCCCATGCTGCTGGTTAAATATGTCTCCTCCAAAACTTGCTGTGTTTGAGAGGCCCTGGAAGCCATGGCATAAATTGTTCCCTCCCTGGTCTACTGGATGACCTTTCTGGGCCACAGTTTTTTCAGGTATAAAATGGATCATAATTTCTACCTTGGGTAATCTGTCTGAAAGTTTTTGTTTTGTTTGGTTTGGTTTGGTTGAGACAAAGTCTTGCTCTGTTTCACTCGCCGAGGCTGGAGTGCGGTGGCATGATCTCAGCTCACTGCAACCTCTTCTTCCTGGGTTTAAGCGATTGTTCTGCCTCAGCCTCCTGGGTAGCTGGGATTACAGGTGCCCACCACCACGCCCGGCTAATTTTTGTATTTTTAGTAGAGACAGGGTTTCACCATGTCGGCCAGGCTGGTCACAAATTGCCGACCTCAAGTGATCTACGCACCTCGGCCTCCCAAAGTGCTGGGATTACAGGCATGAGCCACTGCACCTAGCCCTGTCTGAAAGTATTAATCACCAAGTCAGACGTGTGTTCATAAAAACTCTCCTTTGGATGGCTTAGACTGTGGCTGGCCGATTGGGTGGTTGGGTCATTTCTCCATTCATTCATCTATCCACTGTCAAGCAGGCTTTACTCTCAGGCATGTTAGAGAATGGATTTTTTTTTTGAGTGAGTGTAGGATGAGGAAATAAAAACAAAAATCCTGTCCCCCAGGAAGATTGCAAAGGATCCCCCGTGTGAACAGACTCTCCACAAATCCAGTATCTATGAACTCTCTGGCAATCATAATCACAGGGAATGCAGGGGACTTTATGCATCTGTAAAGCTTCAGAGTCCACAAAGTTCTTTTACATCCTGCCATCACCCCTCCAAAGCAGGCAGGGCAGAGCTTACAATCTTAGTTCTACAGATGCAAGAAGGACTAGTGGCCTAAGTTTGCACAGCTGGGAAAAGACAGCGTTGAGGTCCAAATCCAAGGTCTTTGGAGTCCAGGGGTCTGAATCACACTCAGCTGCTGCCCGTCTTTGCCAGGATGTCTCTGGGATTCAGACTGAGGGGCTTGTATCATTTCTGAGGGGCTGTGGTGGTGAGGATGGAGGCAGTATGACTTAACAGTACTGGTTCCACTCCTCCATTTCTAAGTTGCATGATCTTGGACAAGTTCCTTTTTTCTTTTTATATTGTGGTAAAATGCACAAGATAAAATTCGCCATTTTAACCATTTTAAAGTGGATGAGTCATTGTCATTGAGTACATTCACAACGTTGTTCAACCATCACCACTATTTAGAGCTGAAACATTTTCATGCTTTCTTGGGCATGAAAGCTTTTGTGCTTTCGCCCCAATTTGCTTTGTTGGGCAAGTTTTTTAACCTCTAAGCCTCGGTTTTCTTATCCATACGATTACTAACGGCACCTGCCACAGGGTTGTTGTGAGGATCAGGTGGGATAACTGGGAAGACTTGGCATAGATAAAAGGTGATGGGTGGGGGGCAGTTATACTAAATTTGTATACTGAGAACTAGGTTATAGGATTTGGACAGGACTATCTTGACGCTCCAGGATGAAGGTCAAAGCTGCTTCACCTTGCCCATATGCTGGCTTCAAGGCAACCACTCATAGTGCTTAATTCTTTGTGAACTTGGTCCTTGACACCAAGATTCTGGAGGATTTTGCCACTCCTCTGGCCAGGTGGCCATGGATAGTTCAGGGGAGCCATCAGGCCCTGTGGTCTGGTCGTAGATTGGGTAGTACCTGGATGCCATCATTATCAGAAGCACTCAGGTCACTTCCTGGGGTGGGAGTGAAAGAATGAGATGCTATTTAAGGATCTTCTGTGGGCCAGGATGTGCTCAAGACTCCCTGGGCAACTGCTCAAAACAAAGAGAATGCTGGTGATCCAGGTTTAGCCTGGCTACAGACTGGGGCAAGCAGGGCGGTGGGCAAAAACCCCATTCAGTGCCCAGAGCTGGCCAGTATGGGATGAGCTGGGCAGTCTTATCCACCAGCCCCCAGGGGCATGGCAGCACCACCACATTAGAGAGCAGTTTGATGGTACCAATCATGAACCTTAAAAACCTTCACACCACCTTGTGGTTTAAATGGCATCTGAACAACGTGAAAGAGGGTGCCAGGCCCTGCCACATATTTGGTTAAGTCAGACTAAATTTATTCGTGATTTTTCTAATACTTTTACTAAACTGACTTGAACTTTATTTTTGCAATATTTGAGAACATATGGTTTACTAAATAAATAAATGGCATAAACCAAAAATGAAAAAAAAGGGTATTTGGCTACTCAATAAAACATTTGGTACCCAATAAAACATTTTTTTAGCTTTCCTTTGAAACTATCAAAACATGGAAAAGAAGCCAGGCACAGTGGCTCACGCCTGTAATCCCAGCACTTTGGGAGGCCAAAGCAGGTGGATCACCTGAGGTCAGGAGCGCAAGACCAGCCTGTCCAACATGGTGAAACCCCCATCTTTACTAAAAATCCCAAAACAAAAAGAAATTAGCTGGGCATGGTGGTGGGTGCCTGTAATCACTGCTTGGGAGGCTGAGGCAGGAGAATCGCTTGAACAATCGGGAGGCGGAGGTTGCAGTGACCTGAGATTGCACCACTGCACTCCAGCCTGGGCGATAGAGCAGGACTCCATCTCAAAGAAAACCAACCAACCAAACAAATAAACAAACAAAAAAACATACACATACATACACTCTCAAGGAACCAAGAGACCCCAATACTCATTGATATTCTAGATGTTTAGAAGCTTCATTAATTACAAAGTAGATGGCTCTAGATTGAGAAAATCCTAAGCTTTGCTTCCTAGCATTCCAAACCTTGCCTCATAAAATAACAATTGTGTTGAAAATTAACAGGTAGACCTTTTCCTTTCTCCCCTACAATCTGAGTTAGACTCAGGACTCATATCAACTAGAAAATTGGATAGCTATTGCCTCTACCTAACAGTTGCTGATCTCTGAGACAACCAAATTGCTTTTTTCTCTTTATTCTCATCTCTCTTTCACTAAACTCAGACAGAGCTATACATTCCTAGGGGGAAAAAAAACCTGGATGAGAAGAGGAGGGGAGCACACTAGATGTGAATTGCATTCTGGGAAGCAGAGACTTCCCACATGAAATTTTTTAGGCAGGAAAGAAAAACCCTAGCAGCAGTGCAGGAAGGGAATTTAATGTACTGTGTTGATCTAGAGTATTAGAAAATTGGGCACTGAGGGTAAAAGATGATGTCACTTATTTAATGTAGACCAGCCTAAGGTGAAAGCCTACTAGACACCAAAAACTGTGCTTAAATACTTATTCTCCGGCCTTCTGAGAAGTATATGCAATTAAAACGTAAATAGAAAACAGGGCCAAGTGCCGTCCACATGTGTCTCTTGATAAGCCCAGCCTGAAAACACTTGCTTTGCTTTTGAGGATTAATAAATTTAAAACACCTTTGAAAAAGTACTTCAAAAATAATGAAAAAAAGCAGAGTACTCAGAAGAAGTGGAGGAAGAGTCCATCTCTGAAAATGATCTATTGTAGGATAAAGAAGAAAACTTTAGAAAGATGTGTAGCCTCCCCAATCATATGCAGCAAAGCAGGCTCCATGAAATAGCCTGCAATTGGAGGATGGGGCGAAAAGGGAGATGATCATGAAAAATTCATAGGAAACTAAAAATGTCAATAACACAATACAAATATGTTAAAGTCAATAAGGCTTAAAACTGAGGCTGTTGAAAAGCAAGTCAGGCAACTCACAGAACAAAGAACCCGAATAGCTAACATGTCTATGTATCACCACTCAGCCACATTCCAGGCAAAGCACTGCAAAATCAAACAATAATGAAGTACCACTTTATCTCTGAAAGACTAACAAAAATTAGGAAGTCAGATAATATCAAATACTGGCCAGGATGTGAAGAAATGAGAATACTTATGTCCTACAGCTAGGGCTGTGGGTACAGCCATTTTACCAGAAAATAGTGAAAGCTAATATGCACATACCTTGTAATAAAATACAGTAAAATAAGATGCTCTTCTAGATTGAGGAGGACAAGGACTAAGAGATGCAATTATGAAAAGAAAATAGGACAGATATGGATTTAGAGAATGAGGAGACAACATACAGATAATCCTGTGGCCCAGAGGAGAGACAAGAATATATAGGAATATAATATAAATATATATATGATAAACATACTACATATGCTATATTTATTATGTATAATATATACAATATTATAAATGTATATGTAATAAATATGTTAAATATATTATAAAAATATAAATATAAAACAATATACACAATATAAATATAGCATAGTCATTTTATATATATATATTAGGTTTTTTTTTACTGAGTTGGAAATACTTGAGTGTATGGATTGTATACAGGTCGTGTATAGGGCTCTCTTTATCCCAAATAAAATCAAGAGTGCGATTTTTTTGAATTCCAGGAATAAGGGGAAAAAAAATCTTTCAGGCTTCCAGGTAGAGGAAACTGGGTACCTACAAATGAACGACAATCAGTGACAATCAAGCCAGCCCCAAATTTCTCCTCTGCATCACTTTGTAGTTTCAAAGGGGAGAAATGGTAGCCCAAGAATTTCATGCCCAGCCAAATTCTGCCGTGTGTCAGTGCAACACAGGGCCATCCTCAGTAAGTTGTCAACCCTTTATCCTTCTCAAGGTACCTATTAAAAAGTACTCCAGCGGGCTGAGACCTGAGGCAAGATTAATTCACATAGCCAGAATAGAGAAGAATAGATACAAAGTTGAAAACCAGCGGGAACAAAAGGAAACAAAAAAAGGGAAGCATTAAAAAAGAAGAGATGGCCAATGAGATGATAAATGCAAGGCCAAATATTTACTACAGCAATAAACATACATATTTTAAAATCTGTCCATATGCTCTTTTCAAGATGTGTATTTAAAAACAATCTTAATAGAATATGAATAAAAGGAGGATAAAAAAGTGACAGGCAAATGCAAGCAAAAATACAGTAAGGGTTGCAGTATTAATAACAAGCGTGATACAGTATCAAACAAAAAGCAATAAAATGACAAACAGGTTTATTTTATCTTGATAAATATTTCAATCTTCACTCGCTCAATGAATATCTATTAAGTGCCTGTTATTTGCACTAGGCAAAAGTATATATTGCTGAAAAATGAAGACATAATTGTGATGAACATTTATGCTCAAAACAAGATAAAATGAACACATAAAAAGCAAAAACAGTTGAAATACATGAAGAAATGGTCAGAGACAATAGAAAAAAGTTTAACAAACTTCTCAGCCTTTGATAGATCAAGTAAACAAAAATACAAAGCGTATGATAATATAATTAGTTTGGTTATATCTATTATGCATAAGTAGTCTAATAAAGAATTCTATAGCTTATGACTATAGATTTCATCTTTTTTCCAGCCACCATGGAACTTGTACAGAAGTTGATTGTATAATAGGCCACAAAGAAAATCTCAATAAATTCCAAAAGCAGACACTGCACTTGCCAAATTCTCAAAATAATGCAATAAAACTAGAAATTATAAGAAAACTAGAAATTAAATTTTAAAATACTCTCCGAAATAAATCCTTGGCTAGGAATTAACTCAAAGCCTCAATCACAATCTGTTCAGAAACAAACTTGGTTATGCGAAACAAGGCAGGAGAGCTCAGAAAGCTTGGTCTCCAAGTTAGGGCCCTAATGCTAACAGCCCTGGTGATGCCAGATGCTGGGTGACTGTGCTAGGGGAAGAAGGCCTGGGGAGCATGTAGGAGGCAGGTAGATAGTCATCCATGGGAGAAAGCGCACTAGTGTTAGGGTCCTATAGACCCGGGTTCAAGTCCTGCTTCTACCTCTTATTAGCTGTAGTGGAATTTTGATATCTTATTTCGGGGCTGCAGTCTACTTATTCCAAACCAGGGGTGTGGAGCTGTATCTGTGGTCCTCAACCCTCACTGAGCATCATAATCACCTGGAAAATTTTTAAATAATACTGATGCTTGGGCTAGATGCCCAGAGATTCTGATTCAGTTCGTTTGGAGTGGGACCAAGTCATCAGTATTCTTTAAAATCTCCCCCAAATAACTCCAGTGTGCCAAGAACCCCAGAGCTAGATGATTTCTCAGATGTCTGTTAGTTTTGAAGTCCAGCAGTGCTACTGGGCACCTGCAGTTTTTGCCCATGGAAGAAAGTTTCAGGAGGCTAAAGCCAGAGTAAAGCCAGAGAAACAGTGACGCAAAGCAATCTAATCAAAGCGTGCATTATCTCAAATGGTGCAGAAAATGTCAGTGCCAGTTAATATTTTGCACCCAACATGATTTAGACCCGGGGCACATATTGTACTCCAAGCCTATTGTAAACCCAATGGGCCATTTATTCACTGAACAGTAACCACGGTAATTACCCACAGGGAAAACATGAGGTTGTTCAAGCAACAATTAATTGTGGACCTGGAACTAATGGGACAATAATGGTAAAGTAGCAACCAGAGTGTGATTAAGAAATCACATCAGAAAGCCAATATTTTCCAAATTGTATTAGATAAGGATTTTTGGGGATGTGATGGTATATATAATGTCCCTGTCCTGAAATAGTTCCTCCCAGGTTTTTCTAATAGCTCCTTCTCCCACTGGTGAGCATAGGAGGCTTGCAGTGTTTTTAATCTTGTGAGAAGAATCACAGACAGTAGGTTTGAGGGGACTATAGAGAGCTTTATTTCCCGCACTCACTACGGGACCTAAATGTCAACTGAAGGCAGGTGTGCAGACCTTGATTTGGTTGGAATGATCCTCTTTGTGAATATGATGGAAGCCACTGATTCTTTTTTTCAGAAAAATGTGCATGTCTGTCTGCACATACATGGCCATGCAAATCCTTTCCTACAGTTTTCAGGGGGTTCACAGACACTTTGAAGCCCTTCTGTTCTCACTAGGTTGTGGTCCAGTCTTTGCTTGCACACCTCCAGACACAGGGATCTCACTACTTCTGATGGCAGGTTTTCCAAGGCCAGACAACTCTGATGTGAATGTTCCTCAATGTGTCCAGTTGAAATTTCCCTCTCATTAGTCCTCGTCTACCAAGAATCTTTGAACACTGACAAAAGTCATTCTACCTTTGACCTTTACCGGTCTTGGGGTGTCTCTCTGTTGGATCTTAGAAGATGGTTTCTACGGGGGCTCTGTAGCTTCAGGTAATGGCTGAATTACTGTTGTGTGGTCAGCTCCAATAGATAGGAGATCCAGCAATTCTAGAGAGTGGCTGTCTACCCTCTGAAACAGACATGGAAAGGGACAAATCTCTACTGCCCCCCACAAACTTTTGTAAGGGGAACGTGGTTCTAGGGTGACAGAAGAAGCGGTAAAGCAACTTTAGCTGGAGGCTGAGGGTACCAGGATGTTATTTCCCTGGATGCTTAAATTGGAACCTAGGATGGATCAAATCCAGAGCTGCTGCTGGGACAAGCAAGGGTTTGGGGAGATGGCTGGTGGCAGCAAAGATTGAGCTTGCTTCATCCATGCCCTCTCTGGATCAAAGATTTGAATGAAACAAAAGAAGAGAAGGAGGGAGGGAGGGAGGGAAGGAGGGAGGACAGACAGACTAGAAGAAACCATGGAGAAATTATTTTATAATCTCAGAGTAAGAGAGGCCTTTCTTAAATATGACATAAAACCTGAAGTCATAAAGGAAAAAAACTGATAAATTCATCCTCATTAAAAAAAACCGTGATTACCTGGAAACGGCACTATAAACAACATCAAGAAACAAAGTACAAACTGGGAGAAAAATTAGCAACTTATATCATAAAGGGCTAATTTTCTTAATATAAAAGATCATTTCTATAAACTGATAAGGAAGACTACTAGTCAAATTAGAAAACAAGCAAAAAATGTGAACAGTTTCCAGAAAGGAACTACCAATTACTTTTACACATAGGAAGAAGCTGGGTGCGATAGCACACCTGTAGTCACAGTGACTCAGGAGGCTGAGGCCAGAGGCTTGAGCCCAGGGGTTCAAAACCAGACTAGGCAACATAGTGAGGCCCCTTCTCTGACAGATTTTTAAATTAGCTAGGCATAGAGGCATACACCTATAGTCCCAGCTACCCCGGAGACTAAGGCAGGTGGGGATCGCTGGAACCCAGGAGTTCCAGGCTGCAGTGAGCTATGATAGCAGCATTGTACTCCAGTCTGGGCAACAGAATGGACCCTGTCTCTAAATAATAAATAAATATATATATAAATAAAATTAATATAACAAAATAGAAATATTCAACTTCACTCACTCTAAGAAAAATGCAAATTAGAACTATAACCAGATAACATCTTTTCACCATCATACTGCAAAGATCAAAAACTTTGATAACTACCTTCTGTGGCTGAGGCTGAGGGAAGGAACAGAGATCAGAGGAAGTGTTATGGAAGGGGTGGCATTTAGGTTGGGCCTTCAGGAACAGACAATTAAAATCCAACTTAACAACTTAACTGGCACTTAAAAGAAAAAGAAGAAATAATAAAGAGAACGATGGACAGCTTTGACTATCGAGTGTAAATTAAAATACACACACATAAAATGTAAAGGCAAACTGAGATATTTGCAGCAACTATAATAGCCTGAGTTTGAACGCTATATATATAAAATATCTTCATTAAATTCAATCTGAAAAGCATTAGAATACCACTCAAAAAATAAACAAAGGACATGAAAAAGTAACTCCTAAAATAGGATATGCTACTAGTTAATAACCATAGGGAAAAGTTCAGCATTATCTATAACCATGAATGCGATATGATTCAGGGTTTTATTTGGTGATAAATCATTATAAAATTAGACAGAATAACATTTTTTACTCCCTGTGTTGGCAAAGATGTGGTGAGACTGGCCCTCTAATCATTCCTGGCTACTAAATTTGCAAACCGATAAAATGTTTTTTGGAAATAAGTATAAATCTTTAAAGACTCATATTCTTTATCTGGAAAATTTTACATCACAGACTCTATCTTATGGAAACATCCCAAAATATAAAACAAAAATGCTATGTACAAAGATGCCTGTAGAATAATATGATGATAATGACAAATTAGAAATAATCGAAATAACCCCAAATTAGAAACGATTCAGTAAATTTATGGTATATTCATATGCTGGAATATTGTGCAGCTATTATAAGGTTTACGAAGAGTTTTTAAGGATACCGTTAAATGGGGAAAAACAGTTCAATTGTGCATGTAGAATGATTTCAGGATCTTTTTTAAAAAATTCAATCACTGCATAGAAAAAGGACTGGGAAGGAATAGACGATAACATGAATGATGGTTCTTTAGGGAGGGGTAGATCATTGGCTATTTTTTCCCTTCTTCCTCCTTATTTTGCATTTTTAAACCTTCCCTTCCATTATGATATGTTACTCTTACAATAAAAAAGTTTTAAAAATATCTGTCCCTGTGTGTTTATGCTCTAAGTTGAAGCTAACAGTCTCTATTCCAGTAGGAAAGATGCTGGGTCACAGCTGTGAGGCTCATCAGTAAAAAGCGTTGTCTCTTTTGTGTTTTTCAGCTTTCTTTTGCTGCAACCACGCCTGTTCTAGCCGATAAGAAAAAATACCCTTATTTCTTTCGGACCGTCCCATCAGACAATGCGGTGAATCCAGCCATTCTGAAGTTGCTCAAGCACTACCAGTGGAAGCGCGTGGGCACGCTGACGCAAGACGTTCAGAGGTTCTCTGAGGTACGCTCGGCTTGTGTGGACACGGCCTGCCTTACTGCTTGCTGCTGTCATCTAGCAAAAGGCAATGTGGTTTAGTCAGGGATGGGTACTGTCACAGGGCTTTTAAGCATGTGTTGGTTAGTGCGATCAAAGCTGTTTCACCGTTGACAAAATAGAGCTGGTAGCTGAGGAATTTCACTGTGCATAGGACTGGTGGAAACCATCATCAGGAGTGAACCTTCCCTTTCATTCTTTTTATTGGCTACCTCGTGTGGCTTATTCCCTCAGTGGCCCTGTGGGCTTGTCTTTGTTACTGATGCTGTCGTGACCATCTAAGATCACAAAGTTCTACCAGGGGGTGTGTTCATCTGTGAGGAGAGTTTTGGGGAAGGGCTGGCTTGGACCGAAGATGCCAATGTCACCTTGGATGGGGTACAGAGTTTTGTTTGTTCTAAGTGACTTACAAACACACCTTAATATATGGTAGGCAATTTTTTTGTTTTGTGTATGTGTTTTGTTGTGGGGGAAAAAAAAGCCAAAATATGGGTAGTAAAAAATGTAAAAGTGTTGCTTTGTCCTAAGCCACCTGAATCATGCTTTCTCTCTGAAAGTTAACTCCTGCTTTCACTTAGGGGTTCATCTGCCTAGAACTTTTTCAATGTATTTGTTTTAAAGCCAAATGACTTCATATCATGTATGTTTCTTTTTTCACTTTACAACAGATCTTAGAGGTCTTGATTAACCTCATGGTTTAAAGGGACCTGGTGTTCTGTCAGATGGGTATATCGTAACTTACCGAGCCAGCCCCTCTGAACGTTGACCACTTTTCAATGGGACAACCATACTCTCATGGCTAGGTGTGCGTCTTGGCAGTAGACTTCTAGAAGTGGATTTGCTGGGCCATTTAAAAATTTGAGAAGGACTGACTTCCAAAAAGGCAGTTCTAATTTCTAGTCCCACCAACAGCATTTGAAAATTCCCATTTTCACATATCCTTACTAACAGTGGATATTAACAAATATTTGAAACATTAGCCTCACTCAGATGAGTACAAAATGGCCTCCTGTCTTTTTTCCCATTTGCTTTGTGCCTCCTCCTCTCCTTTCTATTCCCATGTGTGCTTTTGATACTTGGAGCCTCCAAAAACACAAGACAAACCAAGTGTTCTTAGCAGCCCAAGAGAAACAAACTTTAGCCGTGTGGAGGATTTCCATGTGTGAGTCAGGGGTCTAGACAGACCTCAGCCGGAGCGGTGGGGGCAGACACACAGCCTCTTGCCAGCCTGGGAATGGGGAAAGGCCGGGCAGGGTGGCAAGAAAGTTGGGAGTAGAACAGGGCTGGTAATCAGCAGACCTGGTTTCCACTGCAGCTCTGCACTTACCTTCTGAGGTTCTTGCCCCCTGTCTCTTCCATGGGAAGGAGAGACCACTTCATACATTGGCTGTGTGACCTTGGAGACGTTACCTTGCTTCTCTGAGCTTCGATTCCTCCCCTGTAAAATGGGGACAATAACTTCTTGCATGCCTCCCTGCAGGGCTTCTGCCAAAATCCAATGAGTAATGGATCTGAAAGAGCTTCGTAAACTGTAAAGTTCATACACAGAGAGGGTTGTTTTTGGAGGTGCGTGAAAAGTGGAAGTGTTTGGCCCCACTGTCTGTGGGTATCCAAACAAGGCAAGCTTTTCCCAGGCAAGACTGCTCGTCATCTTCCCACCTCTCTGTTTCTCAGCCCCTAGGAGGAGGCACAAAGGGAACTTGACCTCCAGCGGGAGTGACTCATTGCCAAACGCTGAAGAGGCTTTTGCTGAAAGGCCGCCTTCATAGAGAAGCGAGAAATGTTCTAAAATGAGAGTGAAACAAGTGGATGGTGGAGGATAAGAAGGACCCATCCCATGGCCCCATTAACACTGGACTCTACTAGGATTTAGAGAGACTTGCTTTTTCCTTTTTCTTTTCTTTTTCTTTTTTTTTTTTTTTTTTTAGACGAAGTCTCACTCTGTCACCAGGCTGGAGTGCACTGGCGCAATCTCGGCTCATTGCAACCTCTGCCTCCTGGGTTCAAGCAATTCTCCTGCCTCAGCCTCCCGAGTAGCTGGGACTACAGGCACGTGCCACCACACCCAGCTAATTTATGTATTTTTAGTAGAGACGGGGTTTCACCATATTGGCTAGGATGGTCTCGATCTCTTGACCTCTTGATCTGCTCACCTCAGCTTCCCAAAGTGCTCCCAAAGTGGCATGAGCCACCGGGCCCGGCCAGACCTGCTTTTTTCTAATAGCATCTTTGGCTGTCAGAGCCTGAAGGACCCTTAGAGACATATCTCCTACCCTCCTCATTTTGTAGAAGGGGAAACTAAGGCCCAGAGAGGGAAGGGGACAAAGTTCAAGGTTTCAAGGCACCTCTGAAGTCATGAAAGATTGTTCACAGAAAAGTCAGGACTAAATTTTGGGGTCCTGAACCCCTCAGTTCAGACTTCCCATTTCTCCTTCTTTTCTTCTCTAGCTTCCTGGAATTGCATAGGAACTACCTGCATATAGCCTAAGAGGTTTGAAATTCCCACCAGACTGGTTCTAAAGGGGGTAAATTGTGAGCCCTGACATTGGTTGTGTGCCTTATAGATTCCCAAAAACTCTCACAGACAGCCACCCTGTAAGGAGGAGTGATGGTTCCCATTTTACAGATGGGGAAACTGAGGTTTGCAGAGGGTGGGAGGTCTCTTGCCCCAGGGCGCATGCTGGTAAAGAGCCCAGGCAGGGCTGGAAGCTGTACCCTCAGGCTGTTGCTGTGTGTCCTCGCTACATGGTCCTCACTGGGTAATCTCAGGTCTTGACTGTTGGGTAGCACATCTTTCCCCTTGCACAGCCGTGTCGGGGCCCTCAGCCAGGGTTTCAGGGCATCTCAGTGGGAAACCTTTTTTCCCGAGGACAGGATGCTGCTTGCTGGTATTGCTGGCAAGGACCTCTCTTGATTTAAATCTCTCAGCCCAGCTGACTCCTCTCTGTGCCCAAGGGCTTTGGCATCCCTCTCTCAATGTCTGGGCTGCATCGCTGGAGTGCAGGCCCTGGAAACTCGCCAGGGGCTAACAGCTTTTCATGAGTGCAAAGGAAACTGGATTCCTTTTATGAAACTGGTCGATCAGCAACGTCAAGCACTTCTGTTCCGGACTGGTGCACTGGAAGGAATGTCAAGTGAAAGAAATCCTGAAGTCGGAGGGGGTGGTGGAGGGGCTTTACTCCCACGGAGCTTATTACTGTGGCATTAGGACTATGGAAGCGGGTAGAAGGCTGAGGGCCATCCCACCTGGGGACCAGCTGCTCCTGTGAGCACCTCCAACCTCTGAGTTTCAAGGTAAGCCCATGGTAACCCAGAGGCTGCTCAGGACTTGGGTCTGAGGTACTGATCTCTAGGCCCACTTTGGCCAAGCATGGCTGCGTGACCCCAGGCAATTCACTTTCCCATGCTGACCCTAGGATGTATCAGATCTAGAGCTGCTGCTGGGACCAGGGTTCCATGGAGAGAATTGGCTACTGGAAAGTTTCAGCTTGCTCTGCCATGCCCCCTCTGGATGAAAGATGTAAATGAGACAAAAGAAGGAAGGATTTGGTACCAGGTGGGCTGATCTCTGAGCCCATCCTTGCTAAGTGATGGCTGTGAGATCCTAGGCCTCATAGAGATCCACTTTTCCCTTGTGTAAAATGGGGCTATTTATCCTACCTTGCAGGTACTGAAGATGAGATGGTTAAGTGAGAAAACAGAAATGAAAGATCTCTGTGTAGTAGGTGCTCACTAAATAGCCATTTGCTTCTCCAGTGATTCATGGGGCAAACTGAAAATGCAGGCCCATTCACTCAAAAAATCAGTGTGGCCTCCTATGTGCCATGGTCTGTGATGGGCCCTGTGCTGTGGAGGACCAGAGATCAATGACACAGCCTGGGGGTGAGTGGTGAGGCTTCCTGCATTGTGTTCTCAACTCTGGCTGCTCGCTAGAATCACCAGGGAAATTTTGATTTTAATACAAAATAAAATGTACATTTTTGGATTTTCTTCCATTTCCTTTTCTTCACTTTTAATAGCCTTATTGAGATATAATTTACATACCATACAGTTCATCCGTTGTTAATGTACAGTTCAATTATTTTTTATAAATTTTTTATGTTGGCCAGGTGTGGTGGCTCACACCTGTAATTCCATCACTTTGGGAAGCCAAAGTGGAAGGATTGCTTGAGCCCAGAAGTTTGAGACCAGCCTGGAGAACATGACAAAGCCCTGTCTCTACAAAAAAAAATACAAAAATTAACTGGGCATGATGGTGCACACCTATAGTCCCAGCTACCTGAGAGGCTTGAGCCCAGGAGTTCAAGGCTGCAGTGAGCTATGATTGCCCTACTGCACATTTTAACTTGGGAGACAGTGAGACCCTGTCTCAAAAAAAAAAAAGTATGTGTTTGTGCAACCATCGCCACAATCCAGTTTTAGAACACTCTTCATCACTCTAAAAATTCCCATGTGCCCATTTGTAGTCAGTTCCACCCCCCAGCCCCAGGAATAGTTTTACCTTTTCTGGAAATTTCATATAAATGGAATTAAAGAACACGCAGTCTTTTGCGTCTGGCTTCTTTCACTTAGCGCAGTGTTTGAGGCACATCATGCTGTGGCATGTGGCGGTGGTTTGTTTCTTTCTACTGCTGAGTGGTAATCCCTTGTATGGATGGAGCATCTGGGGAGCTTTGAAAATCCTGATGCCCAGGCCATCCCCAGAGCAACCACACTGGACGACCCTGGTGTTGGAGCCTGTCCAAGCTCTCCAGGTGGCTTCAGTGTGTCGCCAGCGTTGAGAACTCACGTCCTGCGTAATTGGCTCAGAGTCAGGAGCTCAGGGTGGAAGTGACGCCCTCTGGTGGTGGGAGACCTTGAGCTCAAAGTAGCCCCATTCTACCTGGTGGCCTCGGTCTACTTGTGGCCCTCAGCAGGCCTGGGGACTGAGGAGCAGGATGGAGAAGGTGGAGGGAGGCCTTGGTCCAGTGCTGGGGGCCCTGCCAGATGGAAGACAACAGTAGGGGTGTGAAGAGTTGGGTGGTCCACGAAGTCTGTGTTGGAGAGGGATAGGCAGGCAGGTAACCCGTGTGCACATTGAGGGGCTGCGGTAAGGAACTGGAGGGTTGTTGGGAGGCTGTGGACAGAGCCAGAAGAGGGGCATAAGTACCGAGAGTCCAGACCCTGGTGATGTGTGAAGACCCATTGTGGCATGGAGGTGCAGGTCACTGGAATTTAGGGCAAGGAGCTGAGAGGCCAGAGTGCTGAGTGATGTCACATGGGCACTGCGGGCCCAGGAGGGAGATAGGGCTTGGGGTGGAGATGAAGGCAGTGGGCAGGGGATGCCTAGAAAGACAGCAGAGGGAGGCAGAGACATTTGGGTCTCTCCCCCTTTTCAAGTCTTATGGTCTACCCAACCATCCTCACCAAGTTATTCTTTGGGCTCTCAATTCTATGTTGCAGCTAACCAACTAAGTGCTTAAGTACCCGTAAGCCAATCACTTGCTGTCTCTGGGTCTCAGTTTCCCTTTCTGTAAGCTAAGAGAATTGGGCCAGTTGACCTCTAAGATCCCTCCTAGCTCAAAGAATTTTGGATTCTAGGATGTGAGCTTATGGAGACCTGGCCTTTGACCCTGATCCTGCCACTCCCAGGGACATGGTCATGAGAATTACTTGCCTCTTTGTGCCTCTGCTTTGTTTGTTTAAGAGACTAATTTTAGAGGATTTTAAATTCATAGCAAAATTGAGAGTAAGGTACAGAGATTTCCCATACGCTCCCTGCCCCCACACAGGCACAGCCTCCTCATTCTCACCATCCCTGTCAGAGTGGCCCATTTGTTACAACTGATGAATCTACATTGACAGGGCATCATCACCCAGACTCCAGAGTTTACATTAGGGTTCACTCTTGGTGGGGTATATTGAATGGTTTTGGACAAATGTGTAATGACATGTATTCATCATTATAGTATCATTAGAGTATTTTCACCACCCTAAAAGTCCTCTGTCTTTTTACTGATCCCCATAGTTTTGCCTTTTCCATAATGTCGTTTAGTTGGAATCATACGGAATGTAGCCTTTTCAGATTGGCTTATTTCCCTTCTTTAATACGCATTTAACTTTCCGCCATGTCTTTTCATTGCTTGATAGCTTGTTTAGTTTTAGTGCTGAATTAACACAGCTGTCCCTTAGTAACCATGGGGGATTGGTTCCCAGACCCCCATGGGTACCAAAATCTGAGAATCCTCAAGTCACTGATATAAAATGGTGTAGTGTTTGCATATAGCCTATGCACATCCTCCCATATTCTTTAAATTATCTCTAGATTACCTTTAATACCTAATACAGTGTAAATGCTAGGTAAATAGTTGTTATACTGCATTGGGTTTTTTTTTGTGTTATTTTTTGTTGCTCTGTTGTTATTTATTTATTTATTTATTTTTAAAATATCCTCCATCCGGGCTGAGTGTGGTGGCTCATGCCTGTAATCCCAGCACTCTGGGAGACTGAGGTGGGCAGATCACCTGAGGTCAGGAGTTCGAGACCAGCCTGGCCAACATGGTGAAACCCTGTCTCTACTAAAAATACAAAAAAAATTAACTGGGCATGGTAGCGGGCGCCTGTAATTCCAGCTACTTGGGAGGCTGAGGCAGGAGAATCACTTGAACCTGAGAGGTGGAGGTTGCAGTGAGCTGAGATGGCACTACTGTCCTTCAGCCTGGCAACAGAGTGAGACTCTGTTCCCCCGGTGCCCCCCTGAAAAAAAATATCCTCAATTCATGGTTGGTTGAATCCATGGATGAGGAGCCTGTGGTTACCAAGGGTCAACTGTATCCATTGTCAGGATGTACCACAGTTTATCCATTCATCTGCTGAAGGATATCTTGGTGGCTTCTCATTTTTTTGCAATTATTAATAAAGCTGCTCTAAACATCCATGCGCAGGATTTTTTGTGGACATCAGATTTCAGCTCTTTGGGTAAATACCAAGAAGCTCCATTGCTGGATCATATGGTAAGGGTATGTTTCATGTTGTAAGAAAACGCCAAACTGTCTTCCAAAGTGGCTGTACCATTTTGCATTCCCACCAGCAATGAATGAGAGTTTCTGTGACTCCCCATCCTCTCCAGTATTTGGTATTGTCAGCGTTCTGGAGTTTGGCCATTCTAATAGATGTGCAGTGGTATCTTGTTGTTTTAATTTGCATTACCCTCATGTCATATGATGTGGAGCATCTTTTCGTAGGCTTCTTTGCCATCTTTTTTTCATCTTGAGCATGAGGATAATAATAGCACCTACCTCTTAGGGTTGTTGGGAGGATTCAATGTGTTAGGATACTTAAACTACTAAGAAAAGTGCCTGGCTTATCCTCAGCACCATGCAAGGGGCAGCTGTTATTTTTATTAACATCCAGAATCAGGTTCCTTAGCCCGTGGCTGGCCCCTATTCAGGAGCCCCACTGCATGGCTGAGTTTCTGTGCCTGCCATGAGCATGGCTGCCTTTCCCTTTTCTCCCTCCAAGCTCCAAGCTCCAAGACTCCCCACCTAGTCACTGGTCCTCAGTGATCTCGAGGCTTCTGAAGCTGACCTTTCTGTACTGGCGACCTCTCTCAAGTGGCAGGCCCCACTGAGGTGAGGCCCTTAATCTGCCCGAGACCAAAAGGTCAGCATCTGCAGAGCTTCCTCTTCAAAGCACCTGCCCTTTCAGGCCCTCCAGGGCCCTGCCTGGCCCTTTGAAACCTTTACCCCTTGCTAAGTTGCCATCTGCCCCACCAAAAGGGCCTTGGGTCAACTCCTCTAAAGTTGCTGCTTACTCTTCCAGAGTAGTAGCCTGGGAGACACTCCTGCAGGGGAGGACGGGGAGACCCTGGGCTTGCATCTAATCTAGAAGCCACCCTTGTTAGAATCATCATCCTCTCCTGCTGCTCTGAGCAGGAACAAGCTCCTTAGCATGGCTCGAGACCCTTTATGGTCTCTCTGAGGCCTCCTCCTCTGTCTCACCTGCAGTCACTTCTTCCTTTGCCCCTTTGGTCCAGCCACACCTCCATGCTGGCTTCTCTCTTGGCAGGAACATCCTGCCCTCCATCTGGCTCAACCTCCCCAGCTGGCTCCAGGTGTGCCGTCTCTGTGTTCTTCCTCCTCATTTTTCTCCCCATACCAGTTCTTTGCATGATGCAGCACAAGACACCATTTGCTTCCTCATCTCTCACCCACTGTCACTGGATGGGGGATGAGATGAGATGATGAATGAGAGCCACAGCAGATCCCTGTGTCCCCTCACCCTGCATGCTCCCTGGTGCAGGTATGTTCAGTGAGGATTTCAGTACATGATTCTTGATCCATTAGGCCAGATTCTTAGGGACAAATGCAGTTCTTTCCCTCCTGTTTTCCTGAGTCCACCTGTTCCTGGGATGGTGAGATGAAGGTGTAAGGGGTGCAGAGAAACCCCAGCCCCAGCATCCAGGCTTGTGAAGAGTCCATTCCCTCTCTTGACTGCCTCCTGCCTGAGTCACCCGGGCCATCTGGAAGAGCAGCAGGGAATGACGGATGATTCTAACAAGGGTGACTCCTAGGTTAGATGCAAGCCCAGGGTCTCCCTGTCCTCCCCTGCAGGAGTGTCTCCCAGGATACTGCTCTGGAAAAGTAAGCAGTAACTTTAAAGGAGTTGACCCGAGGCCCCTTTGGTGGGACAGATGGCAACTTGGCAAGGGGGGATCGTTGCAAAGGGCCAGGCAGTTCTGGCAGAGTCAGCAAGTCTGACTCCTGCAGAATTCCACTCAGGTCATGCCATCATTTCTTAACTTGAAGTCTTTTTTGGATGTGACATTGTTTGTTGGTGGAAATTCTTCTAGAGATCTCAGTGGAAAGTTCTGGACCAGCCATTGGCATCAACAATCCCCAGGAACCTGCCACGTGCTTGCTTATAGATGATGTAGGTGTTGGGCTTTGGGAATGCACACACGGTAGTTTGTGTCCAAGTTAATTTTCCTGAATTTGTCATCCTGGGAGAATTTTTTCCTGAGTTGTTAATGCTTCAGAATCCTCTCTCTTCAGGATTGGGCAATACTGACTTCTACACCAGTCGTTCTCAAAGTGTGGTCCCTGGACCAGCATCATCAGCAGGACCACTTGGGCTCTGTCCTAGCCCCAGTGAATCAGACACTGTGGGATGGGCTCAGCTTTATGATTTTGATGCAGCTAGAGTGTGAGAACCACTGCACTGAAGGAATGGGCAGCCTTCAGGTGGGACCACTGTGCTCCCAAGCTCACTTTAACTAAGAACAAGGCCAAGCACACTTGGAGGGCTGAGCCACCTCTGAGCTCTGCCCTTGGCATCCCTCCTGGCTGCAGGATCACCTGGGCTGCCAGCGTATCTGCAGATCTTTTATCATTAGGAGACAGAGGGGACTCCGACGGATCAGATTCTAATCCTAATGGTACTAGTGCCCCACCTCGGGCCCCAACTTTTATCTGAAGAACTTGCCAATGCTTTTAGGTGACTTGGCTGCCTGCCCAAGCAAGCATCCTCTCCTTCTCTGTGCTCTTCCCTTGAGCTCTGCAAGGGGCCAGGCCTGTGGGTCAGCCAGCAGGAAAAGATTCTTATCTGTCCTGTCCAGACCTTGGTGGTTGTTTGTGGCAGCCTCTTTGGCATTTGAAGGGTTAGGGTAGGTCCATTATTTCCCAGAGAATGGTTTAAATATGTGATATGATTTTTGTACAATCTTAATATCTCTGTATTTGTGTTATTATACACTAGGAAAAAGTAAAATGATGACTAGCACATCAAAACTGTACTTCATGGATGTTATTGCTTAAGATGGAATCCCTGTTTAAAAAGTGACACCGTTCAATTGAAAATACTAATTAATGCTTACACGGGTGGTGCACAGACATGGTGAAATGGCCTCTAAGAGGTGCAGGAGTGACTGAAGTTTGGGGACCACTGGGATGAATAAAAAGCACTTAGCCGCCTGTTTATTTAACTCATGAGGATAGATGGGTGAAGGGTGGGGAGTGGGACTGGCAATAGACTTCTCCTTGAAACTCTGATCTAAAGCAGATAATCAATGGGAAAGGCATTTGATCAATGTCAAGAATCAGCCCCACAGGCCTTCAGTCTTCTGCTGAGGCTCCATAGGGACAGATCCTGGGGTTCAAGCAACACTTGTTCTTTCATGTGAATGTTCCCTGTGGGAAGTGCAGCCCACTAGCAGTGCTCTGTCCTACCCACCCCTGCAGAGTGGGAAGACCCCACCTAGGTGAGAGCCACCGCCTGTCAGGGGCTCCAGTTTCTAGTGCTTCTGCCATCTTGGAGCAGTGTGTGCACATCTGGAGCATTTCCAGGATGTTTTGCTCAGTGGTGGCTGCCATGGCTAAGCCTGCTGAAGACAGATGTCCGAGCTTGGATGCCTTTATCTGGCTCAGAGCTCCTGCCCTCGGGACAGATGGCCCACTAGTCTCCTCCTCCCTCTACTCCAGAGCAGAGAGAAGATGGCTGTCCCATTTTTGGTTCAAAAGGAAGACCTCAGGACCTAGTGGATGGTCCCCCATAACACTCCACACCAGGTCCTCAGAGTGGAGTCCTTCTCCCCACTCCACATGGACCCCGCTCAGAGAGGCTAGGGTGACTGGCCGTGGGTCTGTGGTGCCAACGCCAGGCTCCTGAAGGGCTGGGTGAGTGTTGTACTCTTTGCTCAAGAGGGCATGTGATATTAGATAAATATATCCTCCACTCAAGCTGTGAGGATCCTGGAACATAGCGTTGACTGAGTGTGCCTTCTTCAAAACAGTCCACAGGAGATCCTTCAGGTCTCTGGGGGAAAAGGACCATCCACAGTGACCTCAGCACCCTCACCAGGGACACTTCCTGGTGCCACCTGCCCAGCCCCGGGCCAGGCTCCCAGGGCAGGACTCAAGCCTTGCGAAGCAACCCTTCCCCCTCTATACACACACACATCAGGACCTTGGGAGTAGGAAAATGTGATTAAAATCTCATCTGCCAGTTATTGAGAACCTACTGTGTGCCAGGTAGTTATGTTCAATTATTCAGCATGGTGTGGTCTCCCTATTTTTTTTTTGAGATGGGGTTACCCTCCATCATCCAGATTGGAGTACAGTGGTGCAGTCGTAGCTCACTGCAGCCTCAAACTCCTGGGCTCAAGCGATCTTCTGGCTCAGGTTCCCAAATAGCTGAGACTACAGGCACACGCCACCGCGCCTGGTTATTTTTATTTTATTTTATTTTTTGTCGAGACAGAGTCTCATTTTGTTGCCCAGGCTGGTCTCGAACTTCTGGGCTCCAATGACCCTCCCACCTTGGCCTCCCAAAGTGCTGGTATTACAGGTGTGAGCCACAGCACCTGGTGCTGTCTCCCTTTTAGAGAGCGGACTCACTCAGGGAGAATTAAGTAATGCCAGGGTCTCATAGCCACGAAGTGGCAGGTATAGACATGAACCCCGGTTTGTGCCTGCCCTTGTGAAGAAGAGGAAGCCAGGAGTCTGGGGCCAATATCCCCCCAAGTCCCTGTACCCCACCTACCACAGAAGCAGGGAGGTGAATATACAGGCCAATCAACCATGTCTCAAGGGGACCTCTTCACAGTCCTTTGGAATTTTTGCCATGGGATCCTGCATTTAATTTTTATTATTTTCTCAAGTTGGGAATCTCAGAACAGAGCACTGTCCCTTCACGCTGCTCCTACCACCCTTCCCGGGACACGTTGTTTCTGCCGGTCCTCTTGGCTGACAGGGCAGTGCATCTTGTAGTGTGTAGGTTCCCTAGAGCTATTCTGGTACATTCTGGCTGTGGTTTCTCCCCCAAGGCCCATCTGCCAGGCTTGGGTAGTGCCAGAGCCGCATGAGCAAAGGAGTGGAGTTGGGAAGGTGTGTGGAACCTTCAGGAAACAGCAAAGAGTCTGTTGGGGCTCGATAGCTCCATGAACAGAATGAGAAGTGGAAGGATGAGCTAGGAGGCAAGAAGGATGGCGAAGATCCCTGCATGCCTCTAAGTTGAGACTTTACCTGTCAGCAGTTGGGAGCCATGGATGGTTTTTAAATGAGAAGTGAGATAGTAGCAGTCCTGAGGGCCAATTGGGAGGAGCAGACCAGAGGCTGTGAAAGCAGCCAGGAGGTTACTACAGTAATTCAAAGGAAAAATAATAAGATTACAGTTACTTTCTTACCATAAAAATGTCAAGTTCTTTTTTGTGGTTATTTTTATTTTAAAGTACTAATTATTGTTTTTTAATTGTAATATGGATATGAACTCAATGCAGAAAACTTGGAAAACACAAAAGAGCACAAAGGAAAATTTAAAATTGGCCATAACCTACCCACTGAAAGGTCATCATTAACATCTAGGCTGATGTCTTTACCATTTTTTCAATGCACATAAATGAATGTGTGTAAATAAATACATGCTCTTGCTATCGAAATGGCTTCTTAGCAATGCAGGGAGAATGTTTTCCCAGGTCAGCAAATGTTCTCCGTGACTCCGTCACCGTGACTCCTAATGGCTACAGTGCTTCTTGACTTGACCCCAATCTGTGCCATAGCCCTGATGTGTTTTGAATTGTATTTGCCTCCAGTCATATTTATCCTACAGTCTGTTCCCTTTCTTCCTATATTCCAACAATTCTGCAAATACCCTGTCCATGAACGGTCTTCTTCTTTTTTCCAAAACTGTTGGGATTTTTTTTTTTCTTAACATTTTTTTGGCCGGCCATTTCAAGGATTCGGGGATGGGACAGGAGGTAGATGTGTGTTTGCTCTCACCATCTTTATCCAATTCCTGTTTAAACTATTCTACCCTGTGCGTATGCCATCAGTTACTCAAGAAGGCTGCCGTTATTGAACATGGAGGTAGTTGCCAATTTTTACTGATTATAAATAATGCAGTAAACTCATACTTGTACTTTTGTGGGAACATCTCTGATTATTTTCTGAAGTTAATTCCTAGAAATAGCATATGCACATTTTTGAACCTTTTGTACATATTGCCAAATTGTCCTCCAGAAAGATCATGCCAATTTAGAGTTTCATAGCAGTATACGGGACCATTCCCTGCCAGTATTGTGTATTATTCTTTTCTGATTTTTGGCGATTGCTATTTTAATTTGCATTTTTTTCATTACTATTGAGATTGAATTTCTTTTTTACTAAGAATATTTCTCATTTCTGTTTCTCCTTTTGTAAATTGGCTGTTCATGTTGTTGGCACTTTTTCCCATTAGACTGTTCTTTTTTTTACTGATTTATAAGAGCTCTTTATAAAGTAAGGGTATCAGATCAGCCTTTTGTCATATTTGTTAAGATATTTCTCCATGTTTCATGTGACATTTAATTTTGTTTTTGATATTAGTTGATCTATTGAAAAATTTAGTGTGTTATACAGTTAAATTTATCAAGACCATTTTTTTCACCTTTCCATTATGCTTGACAAGCTCTTCCCATCTCCAAAATTTTTGTAAATACATACCTATGTTTTCTTCTAGTATATTTTTTACTTCATTCTTCACTTTATCTGGAATTTCAGTATATGGTCTGAAATATCAGCCTTTCCTCTCCTGCCATTATAGTCACTCAATTTTTCTTTCAGCACTTAATATATCTTTTTCTGATTTACTTAAAATGCCTATGCTAAATTTTATCTTTAGAAAATAATATATTACACTTTTGCTTATGCTTTAGGCCAGTTCTGTATGATCGAAATATAATGCAAACCAACATATATAATTTTAAATTTTCTAGTAGCCACATTTTATAAAGTAAAAAGAAACAGGTAACATTAATTTTAATAATATATTTTATTTAATACAACATATCCAAAATGCTATCATTTCAACATGTGTCATTAGGATTTCAAGCGCTTGATAATCACATGTGGCTGATGGCTACTGTCTTGGACGGTGCAGCTTTTGACTGTTGCTGAGTTTTTACATTTTGTTCCATTAATCTGTCTATGCTGGAATGGGTACCTCAGGGCTCCTTTATAATATAGTTTAATGTGCAGCTCTCCTTTCTTTCTTAACAGTTGCCTTCATTTTCACCAGTTTAATTCTTGGCATTTTTGTTTGAATTTTAGTTACTTTAATTAATTTGTAGAAGAGTTGACATCTTTATATACCATGTCTTCCCACTCATGCATATGGAACGTTTCTTGTTGGATCCTCAGCAAAGTTTTGTCATTTTCTTCATACAGGTCCTTTCCATGAACGGTTAGGTTTATTATCAGGTATTTTACATTTATTATTGCTTTGGGGAATGGGATCTAGTTTGCTTGATGTTTTTAAGTGGTTATTGGTGGGATATGAGAAAACTATTGATGTATATATCCACATCTTATGACTGGCTACATTGAACTCCTATTATTTCTGCTAGTTTTTCCTCTCTTAATTCTCTTGGATTTTCTAGGTAGATATAATAACATCTGGAGCAAGAATAAACTTGCTTTCTATTTTCCAGCATTATGGCATCTTTATTTTCATCATTTTTCATTGAGGCGGTACTGCATAGTGGTAAATGACAGTCATAGCAGAATGACCGTCTGAGTTCTAATTCCAACTCAGCTACTTGCCAGCTGGGTGACTTTGGGCAAGTTGTTTAATTTTTCTGTGTCCCTGATAATGGGGAAATGCTAATATAACCTTAGGTGTCATGAGTATTAAAACAGCTAACACATGTAAAGCATTTAGGGCTTAGAACAGTGTCCAAAGGAGTGAATACCCACTATTTTATATATACATATATATATATAATATATATATTATTATTATATATTATTAACATATGAATAATATATGTTATTGTCGTTAATATTGCTTCATTCACTGGATGTTCTAGAGTTATATTTTAAAATAGTGATAACAGTGGGTATTCTTGTCTTGTCCTTGACTTTAATGAGAATGCTCTTAGTAAGGTTTGATGTCTGTTAGAAGAGCAGATATTCCTCCTCATCTCAAGGGATGTTCTATTTTTATTTACTCAGTGTTTGTACCTATTTAGCTATGCATGCTAAAATGTCAGATGCCTTTTTAGAATTTGTATTGATAGCTATGGATTTTTACTTTGATCTATTAGTGTGACAAATTATAGTCATCAGTTTCCTTGTACCCATTTGGTAATACATTCATTCATTTAAGACATATGTATTGAGTGCCTAGCTTGTGTTGGTCACCATTCTAGGTGCTGTAGACACATCAGTGAGTGAAACAAAGTCCCTGCCCTCAAGGAGCTTACATTCTAGTGGGGGAAACAAATGATTTAAAAAAATAATGAGCAAATAAATTTAAAATATGTCAGATGATAACAAGTGCTAGGGAGACAAAGTAGAGTTAAGGGAGTAGGAAATCCCATGCAGAGAGTGGTGAAGTCAAGCAGAGCCTCAAAGAGGTGATGTTTGGGCAGCCACCTGAAAGCAGTGAGGGGCAGGTTATAAGGAGACCTGAGAGAAGAGGGTTCCAGGCAGAGAGAACAGATGCACAAAGGTCCTGAGGTGGGAGGGACTCTGGAAGTGCTGGAGCAATGTCAGGAAGGCTATGATGACTGGAACAGGGTGGGTGTGGGAGAAGTAGAGTGGTTGGTGTGGAGTGGAGGTGGGGCAAGAGATCTGTGGTTCTTTTAGGATATTTGTGAAGACTTTGGCTTATACTTTGAGTCAGTTGGGAAACTATTGGAGAATGTTTTGGGTTTTGTTTTTATTGGGAAAAAATTCACATACCATAAAGTCCACCATTTTAAAGCATACAATTAAATGGTTTTCAGTATATACACAATAATGTGCAACAATTACCACTATGTAATTTGAGAATATTTCATCACTCCAAAAAGAAATTCCACATCCATTAGCAGCCACTCATTTTCTCCGGCCCCCAGCTGTTAATCTACTTTCTGTCTCTATAGATTTGCCTATAATGACATTTCATATAAATGGAATTACAAAATATGTGGCATTTGTGTTAACTTATTTCACTTAGCATAATGTTTTCAAGGTTCATCCACGTTGTAGCATATATCAGTACTTCCTTTCTTTTTTATGGACAAATAATATTCCAATTTGTGGATGTAACACATTTTATCATTCATCAGTTGATGGACATTTCAGTTGTTTCTACTTTTGACTATTATGAATAATGGTGCCATGAACATTGTGTACAAGTTTTTGTGGGGATGTATGTTTTCATTTCTCTTGGATTTACACCTAGAAGTGGAATTGCTGGGTCATTTGGTAACTCTACGTTTAACATTTTGAGAAACTGCCAAGCCATTTTCTGGTTTGCATCAATGGATATACCATTTACATTCCCACCAGCAAGGTATGAGGGTTCCAGTTTCTCCACATCCTTGCAAACACTTGTTATTTTCCATTTTAGAAGAGATTATAACCATCTTAGTGGGTGTGACATGGTGTCTCATTGTGGTTTTGATGTGCATTTCTCTAATGAATAATGATGTTGAACATGTGTTCATGTGCTTATTAGCTATTTGTATATCCTCTTTGGAGATATGCCTATTCAAATCCTTTGTCCAATTTTTAATTGGGTTGTTTGTCTTTTTGTTATTGAGTTGTAAGCATTCTTTATATATTCTGGATTAGATCATATCAGATAGGTGACTTGCAAATATTTTCTCCCATTCTAAGGGTTCTTTTTACTTTCTTAATGGTGTTTTTTTGCACAAAAGTTTTTAATTTTAGTAAGGTCAAATCTATCTTTTTTTCTTTTGCTGCTTTTACTTTTGATGTCATATTTAAGAGACCATTGTCTAATTCAAGGTCATGAACACTTCAGCCCATGCTTCCTTCTAAGAATTTTATAGTCAGATACAATCCCTGATCTTTGATCTCTTTTGAGTTAACTTTTATATTTGGTGTGAGGTAAGGTTCCAACTTCATTCTTTCATATGAAGCTATTCAATTGTTCCAGGACCATTTGTTGAAAAGATTATTATTTCTTCATTAAATGGTCTTGGCACCCTTGTTGAAATCGACTGACCATTGTAGTATGGATTTCTTTCTGGACTACTGGAGAGTTTTTTTTTTAATAAGAGGGATTTTATCTGACTTAGGTTTTTAAAAGTGGTGCTTTTGGCACCACCGAGTAGAGGGTGGTGGTGACTTGAACTAGATAGTGAAAATCAACCAGATTCTAGATATTTTTGACAGTAGAGCTGACAAGATTTCCTGATGGAATGAATGAGTGTGTGAGCGATAAACAGTGAGGCATCAAAGATGGCGCCAAAGTTTTTGATCTGAGCAACTGGACAGAATGAGTTATCACTTCTCAACTTGAGGGAGAGTGCAGAGGAGCAAGTTTCCATGAAGGGGGTCAACAGTTTAGATACGCCTGTTGAATATCCAGATGGAGAGGTTGAATAGGCTATTGGATAAATGGGTCTGGCATTCATATTTACATTAAACCATATTGGCATTCCACTGTTTGTTGTGCTGTTTGTTTTTCTTTTAACCAATTCATCTATTTTTTTCTGTAAGTACGTATGATAATTTATATTTTGCCGTGATTGTGCTGTCTTTGTCAGGTTTAGTTGTCAGGAATATTCTAGTTTTACGACAAGAGTTGGAAAGCTTTCCATGTTTTTAGGTGCCCTATACAGTTTATAGATACAAATTAACTGCTCTTTGAAAATAAAAAGGTGTGTCTATGAAACCATCCAGGATTTTACATTTTTCAGTCTGCCCTTTTTACAAGTTATCTTTGTAGCTTCTTCCATGCTTATTGATTTTGGCTTTATACTCCTTAAATGGATTTAGTAACATATTTTCTCAAAAATAGTCCATTTCTTTGGGATCTTCAAATTTATTAGCATATATTTCAGGACAATTTTTAAAGCCTCTGTTTTTTTGTTATAGGCCCTTTCTTGTTTTTCCCACTTTTCCCCTTGATTAGATAGTTTGCTTCTTTTATTGATGTAATTGTTATTAACATCTTAAATTCTGTGGGAAAGAAATGGTTACATTTTTTATTATTTTTTCAAATGAAATTAAACCTGGATCAAGCACTCCATCTGCCAGATACACTAGGGTCAGTGTCTCTGTCTTGAAGTACCACCCCTCTCTAAAATGACCAACAACTCTGGTGGGTTTTCTAATAGAAAGCTGGGAGAGCCAGCATTCTGCAGCCCTTGCTTCCTGCTGCCACTTGAGTGTGCTGTGGACACTGGTCCCACTGGTTACTGCTGCTAATCTAGGTTCCCGGTTGCACTTCCTAGCATCCTCAAGCCCCTCCTGTAGATCTAGAACTTCTGTTGGCTTTTTCTTTTCGGA